>NC_000013.11:71135378-71286893 GCF_000001405.40 Homo sapiens
AATCAAAAAAGATGTGGAGTGTCTATACTACTCTCTGACAAAAGTTTTTGATTTTCAAACAAAAGTTTTTACTAAAGATAAGGAGGGTAACCTTGAAAAAGAATAATATATTTGAAAAAATCACACTTCTCTATTTTAAAACTTACTATACAGCCAGGATAATCAAGACTGTGTAGTATCAGTATAAGGATATAGATGATTTTATATATATATGTATATATATATATGTATATATATGTGTATATGTGTGTATGTGTGTGTGTGTGTGTGTGTGTGGATATAATAAATGGAGTAGAATTGACAGCCTATTGGTACCCCTTTTATATTTAGATCAGCTAATTTTTGGCAAGGACACCAACACAATTAAATAGGGAAACAACAAATCATTGCAGAAATGAATCACTTCAACAAATGATTGAAATCTACCACTGAGACAATATTCCCATACAAAAGAATGAATTCAAACTCCTACCTCACACTGTATACAAAAATTCACTCAAAATAGATCATAGATCTGAACGTAAATGCTGGCACTATAAAACACTTAGAGGCATACTTAGAAATACGTCCTTATGCCCTAGGATTAGATTACAATTTCTTAGGTTTGATATCAAAAACAAGTGATAAAAGAAAAATAGACAAATCTAGCTAAATGAAAATTAAAATATTTGTACTGCAAATGATGTCATCAAGGACATGAAAAGACAGCCCATTGAATGGGAGAATGGGGGAAGTATTGGGTATCAGTCTTCACAGAAAGCTGAAAATAAGAATTGTAATCCTATATTCTATTCTAAGCTATAGTAACAAATCCATTTTAAATACATTAAGAGTATGCTGAAATTTTATGTTTTGGTTTAATAAATCTTAATTGTTCTCACAGATGATAAGTACATTTTCAAGTAACATGAGAACCACTGCCTCAAAATTGAAAATACTTCATTATACTTAATTCTAATGAGCAGTGTGATCAAATATCAACTTTTAGTTGGATTTTTGCTACTATCTTAAAAATGCATCTTGCATAATGTATAACAACATGGATTGGATCAAAAGGCATAATATTAACATCCAACTCTGTTGTTTATTCAAGTCAATCTACTTATATATACAAATTTGATATTTACTTTTTAAAATATTTAACAGGCATAAGTGCCCATAAATCAGTTATGACAATCATTATTAAAACAATCAATAGTAAGGAATATGCATTAATTCAAATAATATTGATAGGCTCGTGAACCTGCATCAGTCTTCTGTGAAGTAAGAAAAATGAGACATCTTCAAAAAATCAATATTTTTCTTTTTATGTCATTCACTTCAAGATTATCAATAATACATTACTTTTTTTACCTTATGTGTCAATGATCTAATTTTTAAATACAGGCATATTTACATTTTAATGTAAAATGATAATCTGCAAGGAACTGAGAGGCTAAAAGTCATTTGATGAAAATATTTTTTGAAGTTTATTGCTTAAAACAAATATATATGCATCTCTCTATATATGTTTTTACACAAACCCATAAACCTATATATATGTTTATGTTCTATTGTATATTTGTGTGCAGCAGTGTAAGAAAGCTGTCTTTTAAAGTGTTCCTTCACCTCCATGGAAAATGCTCGTTCATTTTATTCTGAAGGTAAATTGCATGAAGAAAATAACAAAAATCTCAGTACCCATCTTTTTTAGCACTTGTGAACCAGGACGTTATACAGGTATGTACTTAGGTAAAAATACAAAATGTGATATTACAGCACCCATTCATCAAAAAGGAAACATTTTAATTGGTTATAGGTGGAAAATATCTACTTGACAGTCAGTTTCTCACTTTCACATAAGTGCTTTGCTGCTTGGATGCCTAATCTTGTTTAGTGTAGGGAAAGTAATTTGACATGAAAGTACCTAGATGGCTGCCGAAAATTAATTGCCAATTAAAAAAGAAAAATGTTTGTGCTACTCTATAAACAAGCCAACGTATAAACCTTTCAGTCTTGTTGCTTTATTTATGTCTTTATAGATCTGGTTTCAAGCTATTTGCATACAATTCACAAATTCATATTATAATTCTCCAGTATATTTATGATTTTATAGTTGTATATATTTTAGCTCCATGAGAAATATTTATTTCTGTATGCTTCTGTTGCTTATTATTTAACAAAAACATCACATTGCATTTGATAGTTTATGTGTCTTCTTTACACTAAGACATTTTTATTTGAAAAGGGAGAAAGAAGTACTTTACCACCACCAACAGACAGAGATTGAACACATGATTGTGTGTACATCAAACACACACGTGCACACACACACACACACACACACCATCACCACCACCACCACCATAGAACCAATTAGAAAACAATTTAAAGAATATTCCAGACCCCTTTATCTCCATGTTGGTCTACAAAATATTGAGGCTACTAATTTTTTCAGAGGTAATAGGAGGCTATTCTATATGAAGGAAACTATTTTTGAGAAATTAAAGGATTCTGATAAGCTTAATACTTGTAAACTGTTAGCCATTTGAAAATCTGAATTGGCAAAAAGAGAAGCCATTCCAATTTTTAGCAGTGTCTCCTAAAAGGGGAAAGTTGGATTGAAGATAAAATCTCTAACTGTAATAATTAGAGAAAATCAAATGATAAGGGGAAAGTGCCAATATTCTAAAAATGTTAGAGAAATCAGTAATGATACGTCTAGGTAATGTAGAGAAATATTAAAGAAATAAATGATATTTGAATCTAGATAGGCTATAAAGGATGATATCATATCCAGATGTGCCTGGCAATATAAACTATAAAATAATATAAAAATAATAGACAAAATTCAATCCAGCTTTCTATGACATTGGGCTATATAATGCATAGGAGTACAAGTCATGTTACACAGGACTGCTTCACTAACTTTAAAAGTCCCACTTTATATTTCCACCTAGTAAAGAATTACAATTTTGTTTTTGGAAATAACTAACAAAGACTTTTTGATTTTATATTTGAACCATAGACTTGTAGGACCATGTTTATAATTAACCCTTGTAAGACTTAATATGTGCCACATCATCATACTTCCTATTTTGAAATGTTGACAGCTTTCTCTGGTTGTGTAAAATTACCTGTGAGATAAAAGGTGGTCATTTATTACAGATCAAGCATTCATCACAGCTATCATACTGCACCTGGGGGGATAATGATGAAAATAATTTTTCCAAATAGTTTTCAAAAATAATAGCAGGAACTTCAGTATTTTACTTTGTTATTAAAAAAAAAACAAGTTTCTTATTAAGAGTTAAATAAAACAACATGTATTTTTTCACCTATATCAGCAAACTAGACCCAGCTCACTGGCTTTCTTAATTCTATTCAATTCATTATCTTTTGTACAGTCACTCCGATTCCTAACAATGGGGTTATCTTTTCCTTGTTCTTATATTGAATTGGGGCACAGATTGAAGAAGAACAGATAGGACATATGCCAGAGATGTTACATCCCCAATATCTCTCTCTTTAATGAGCGCCTCATCACTTCCAAACTGAGCTATTGCAAAAAGCAGCCAAGAATATATTTTAATATTGATTGATTTTTTACTATATGTCCTAGGCTCTGAGAACTGCCTTTACATATATTATTTCATTGGTTTTCTGCAAGATAGGTATTAATCACTCTAATACCATGAAAAAAGAATGCAATAAGACCTTCTCAGTATGTTATTCCATCTTTGCATTTCTGGGTCTTCAGAACAGTTTCTTATTCTATGTCTCTCAGTCTTAATTCCTGTACTTTTAAAAATATATTTTAAAAAAATATTGCAAAGGAAATAATTGCTTCCCACTCCGCAACTGTGTCTCAATAGAACATCTACTCCAAGAATCAATTTTACTCAAAAATTTGGAGGTAAATTCTGTATGTCTTTATACTATAATAATATATATATACTATTATATTGTATAAATACATATTTACATATATTTTAATAATGCAAACTTACATACATTTTTGAGCCAAAAGAGATGCTTCAAATAAATTTCCAGCTTGAGTTGGTACTTTCTAGGTATGCGAAAAAGGTCTGTGGTATGGTGAACTTTTCACGAGCCTCTGCTTTCAGGCAGATCCGGTTGTGTGTTCCAGTTATAGAATATATGAAGGTACAAACTCTATTACTTCATATCTGTGAGTAATGCATTTATATTTAGGCAATTGAATCTGTAGCACTTAGAGTAATTTCCCATTGCTTAATGCCACATAATGTTAGCTGAATTAAAGAACAAATAAAAAAATGATTATTTGATTAATATCAGTCTCCCTTATGAGGCTGAGCTTACGTGTAGGAGTAGCACTTGCTACTACTAATAAAACTCGCTGCTAATAAAACTCACTCTTTTGTTGCATTTCCAGGGTCTAGCTTGAAACTTGGTATAGGAAGCACCCTATAGGTTGAAGTGAGAAATGTTCACACGTGCACACACTCACAGAGAAACACCTATATCTTTACATTTCATTTTGTTTATTTTTGCTTTTAGAATGATTTCCCTAAGAATATTTGTAAAAAACATTGCAAGTTATCTTACCCCAAGTAAACAATTTATCATACCACTAACACAGCTAACATTCAAGTAGGAAGCCCATTGTATGCACATTTTGTTTTCATATGCTTTGCAGAATAGATGTTTCATGATGTTAATTAATATTAGAGCAAAATAAGTTCATGGGCAAATTGAAGGCATCTAGAAAAATTTTCGCATATTTGACATTTAACAAACTTATGATATATCTTATGTCTTGATGAAATATACGATTTGAATCTTCTCACAGAGCAGATGCAGTCGAAGTAAGTCTGTGATTAGAATCAGAAAACTTTGATCTAGGTACTGAATATGCTACCATAAGCTATGTGTTCATATGTGAATTACTTAAACTCATTCAGCTTTTAGCTTTGAACCTGAAAAATACAATATTCCATGTATCAATCTCTCTGGGTGGTTGTGAGGAACAAAGAGGACAATGTGTGGCGAAATGCCTTGTAAACTATAAAACACTACATAAATATGTTGTTCTGTTAACTGTTGTTCCTGGCCAAGCACTCTCTGGACATTTGGACCAGTTATTCTGACAGATTTGACAGCTGAGCTTCACATGAAGGAGAAAGACTAACATGGACCCCCTCAGACACCTTTGCATTTAATCTTTCTAACTACTACCGAATTGGCTGATGTAACAATGGAAACAAAGTCTCTCTTTGCTGTCAATTCCATTTTTTTTTCCAAATAGAAAAGAGCAACATCCTCCAAAAGTTATCTGGCATCACTGCCCTCTGCCGTGCTAGATTATTTAGTATAGATTTGTGCTAACTTTGAATCAATCACATGTACATCTAATTGTTTCTCTTTACATACTATCAACCTAAATTTTGTTGCTATTCTCCATGTTCAACATTTCTATTATGAATGAAGATGTGGTAACAAATCATTCTTAACATTTTAAAGATAGGAAAGTTTTAAAACAAAAACAACCTACTATTGTGGCGATGGCAAATATTTTTAAGGTGGTTGTTACTTAGTTTATATGAGTGACACATATATACTGGGGAATCTTCACTGTCTTTGAAAATTAAGAATTTCTAAAAATTATATAGATAGGCTCCATTTCCAAAATAGCTTTACAGGTTGTACTAGTTTTCTGTATCCTTTTTTACTCTTTCATAATTGCTTCTGGTGGCTCAATGTCAAATATGGAATGTGTGAGTGTGTGTGTGTGTGTGTGTGTGAAATCTGGAGTGTGTGTGTTGTATCTGTGCGTGAGAACCATGATCATATGCAGATCACATTACTTTAAAGGTTATTATATACAAATTTACTTTTGTAAAGATTTTTTTCCTATTAGGTATATGAATTTGGAAAATGCATCATTATACCAAAAGGAATAATGTTTTTAAATCCACAGGGTACAAATGAAGTACAGATGGTTGGTAACTTTTAATAATAAGATATTTTAAAAATGTGGCTGGTCTCAGTAGCTCATGCCTGTAATCTCAGCGCATTGGGAGGCTGAGGCTGGCAGATTACTTGAGGCCAGGAATTCCAGACTAGCATGGCCAACATGGTGAAGCCCATCCCTACTAAAAATACAAAAAAAAGCCAGGCTTGGTGGTGCACACTTGTAGTCCCGGCTACTCAGAAGGCTGAGGCAGGAGAATCACTTGAATACGGGAGGGGGAGGTTGCAGTGAGCCAAGATCTCACCACTGCACTCCAGCCTGGGTGACAGAGTTAGACTCTGTCTCTAATAATAATAATAATAATGTTTTAAAATTGTATTTCATAAAAATATAGTAACATTATTTATATCTGTGAATAACCGAGTTAAGCTACCACATGCCTTTAGACAAGCAACTTCGACTGAGGTAGCAGCAGACAAGCTATTTCAAACAATATTGTATTTTTCAGCTATCAACCATTAAAGGGGAGGCTGAATATTTTACATATGCTATTTTAACTATCTTGAAGTAGACAGTAAAATTCAATTTAAACATTAAAACTATCTTTCCCTACTAAATAAACCATAGGTGTCCCCTACACTTCTGACACTAATGTAATTATTATTAGCTTGCAATTCTTATCTGAGACAGTTATATAGATAAAGTAAGCCCTAAGTAACATTAAATCGGCCAATTTGACATTCTTCTCAGTAATGACCCTGACATGGCTGTTTTGCTGCAGAATATGGGTATGATTAAGTAATAGCAGGTGGGTCTTTACTGACATTAGTTATTTGCTAGTTGCTTTTTCTTACTTTAGATGAACTCTTTAAGACATAGATAATGGATATATATTAAATATTTTTGAAAATTCTAGAGAGTTTCATAAGGATATAGATGTAAATATGTAGATATATAGACTCCAGCCTATTTACAAAAAATATTTTATAATGATAGTTCATGAAATTGAAGTCTTGTATAAGCACCAATACTCAAATCTGTTTCATTCAGACATTTCTTTAATCTTCATTTGCAAGTTAGAGTTTTATCCATTGATAGCATGTTTTTAAAAAATATTCTATCATTATCCAAAGAATATTTCCCACACTCACACTGGTATAATCTAATTTTTCATTATTCTTTATATGTAAAATGAAAATATTTATTAATAAAATATTATGAATTATATTAATAATCTATATATAAAATGGAAGTAATAATTATTGTATAATATTGTTATGATTAACATTTTTTAAAAAAGAAAGAGCCATATGAAATTACTTTGAAACAAATCATTTCTACTATAAATTGGAGGATTAGATTTCCTCTGTAGAACTCAAAGCAATTACCCAGGAACTGGATTAGCAGTAAGAAAGCCTCACTTTAATGGATATTGTTAGTGAATTACCCAATTAAGTAGGAGGTCCTGAGGTTGGAATTTAATTGCTCTGCTTATGAGCCACACCTCAGATACAGAGGCTTCAATTTTCACATATTATGTGTGTGAGGGTTGAGGTGAAAAAAATTGCCACACAACATACCCAATGAAGTAATTAGATTTGAGCACTGAAAACCACGCCCAATTTTAGACAAAAGTTTCTGAAATATTCTTTATTTGGAACAATATATGAGCTAATTCCCACAAAATCTCAGACATCTGGACTTAAGTAAATGTTCTGGGTGTCCAGTGGTCTGGGAAATAACAAAATATTCCCTCCAAATTAGTCAATTTATGTTTCAATAATTCTGCATAGTAGTCTCCAAAATCTCAGTAGCTTTCAACACCAGCATTTTTTTTTCCGTTTCTTTTTTTTTTTTTTTTTTGGTACACAGATCTGTGGAGTGGCTGCAGCACCTGTGTTTCAGCCTGAAGAATGGGCACAGGTCAGTTCTGCTTATGTTTCATTTTAGGACTGCTGTGGTTTGGATGTTTGTGCCCTCTGAACCTCATGCGGGAATTTGATCTCCAATGTGTTAATGTTGGGAGGTGGGGCTGGTGGACAGTGTTTGTGTCAGGTGGGTGGAACCCTCATGAATATGTCATCCCTGGGGGTGAGGGAGATTTCACACTATTCGTTTCTGGTAGAGCTGGTTATGAAAAAGTGCTTGACACTTCCCCACCTTCCCCTCTGTCCATGTGATCTCTTTGCACATGCAAAGAGATCCTCTTGTGCTTTCTGCCATGAACTGGAACAGCCAGAGGACCTCACCAGATGCAGTTGTCTGGTCTTGAACTTTCCAGCCACCAGAATTATAAGCCAAGTAAACTTTTTAAATATATTATCCAGTTTTAGGTAGTCTGTTATTACCACACTAAATGGACTAAAACAAGGTCTAAGCTGAAGAAGCGATCACTATCTAAGGTATTTTTCTTTTTCACGGCACAGAGCAGGGCACCTAGAGTGTAAGCTAAACCAGGCAAGTCCACAGAAGCATGTGTGAAGCTAACTCATCTTTCACTGGCCAAAGTAAATTATATGTCCAAGCCCAATGCCAGTGAGGCAGGGAATTATACTACACCCAGTATAAACCATAGCAAGAGCAAAGGCAAAAGGAGAATTCTAAGCACATGATACCATCCAGTAAACGCTCAAAGGTGAAAGAGAATTCAGTGCACCTGTGTACTACTTTACCACGACAAAATTGTAAAACTACTTGTGGCAAGTGTTTTAAGAGTTCAAAGGCAACATAAGACACATTCGATGATATGTATTTAAGATATTTAGTGGGTAATCTCAAAACTGCCATATTTCAGTCAGGCCATTATTAGTAGACAATTCTCCATGGGTCTTTATGTCATGCAAGCAAGGCAATGACTACCCTTTGTCCAGGATTATCTTTTAAAGGATTTTTGCATAGTAGACAGCCTTGGAAGATAGATGTAATGTCTCCCTGTGGAGTAAAAGGCAAGCATGCTTAAAGTTTAATATACATACGTGCTTGAACAACAAATTATTATTATTATTTCTTTTCAGAAAAATGTATATTCATTACTATTTATATTAAGGTTACTTTTCAGAATATATGTATTTATATATGTAAATCAAGCTTGTTAATTATGTTATTCAAATTGCCTATACCCTTATAGATTTTTTTTGGTCTGCTTGATTTATCAATTACTGTGACAGGTATATTAAATCATCCACTCTGATGGTACATTTGTCTATTTCTCTATGTGTTTATATCTTTTTTGTGCTGCATATTTTAATCATATGTTACTAAGTACACAAAAGTTTAGAATTATAATATCTTTCTGTATAAATGCTTTTGCTATTATTTTGTGCCTCTCTTTATCTATAATAATATTCTTCATATTAGTATCTTTTTTCCTGGATTTCTACAGTGTCTGCTCACAAATTTACTTCTCTGGTTCTAAGTTTCCTGTTCTTGGAAACTAGTATGAAGAAATACTGCAGATGGTTCACAAAACCCTACGCAGATATTTATTTTGTACCAACAGTGACAATGTAACCTAGAAAATTGAAGTTGTGATGATAGCTCCTTCATTCTTACATTTTCAGAAGTGGTAGAGTTTATAGCTCCCATAGGTAGGCAGTTCGGAAGCATTGCTCTGACAGTCATTTCTGGATATTATACTATATCACCCAACAATGTTAAACTTAATTTCTTCTCTTAAATTTCTTTCTTGTTAAACTATCTAGAGTAGATTTTATCTGTCATGAGACTCACATAACGCAGTAACTTACAGCACCACTCTGGTGATAGGAATCTGGAATTGATTCCTGGTTGATCTCCATGGCAGTGATTAAATTATTTTCAAATAGAGTGCCAGTAACCTGTACATGCAGATTGCAAATGATTTGCTTAAATTATGATTCACAGTCCCTCTTTGGCAGACTGAATGGATGCTGCCATACCATCACACTGGAAATGAGGAATATAACACCATGAGGAAGAATGGTTGTTTCACACACTGGTGAGTTTAAAGGGGCAGTAACATGATAGGCTTTAAGTCTTTTTTTTATTAAAAAAAAAAAAAGCCATGGTAGAAAGAAAAATATTTCTATGACCACTCTAAAAAAATTCAGAGCCAGATGCTCTGGGTTGAGAAATTACAACATACATAAAATTCACAAAATCTTCTAGTATCTTATGCACTAATTAGAGTATTCATTGGTAAAGAGTTGGAGACTGATACTGAGAATGATGATATTTGAAATGATTTATTTGATTTAAATGACTCCCAAACTCCCACTCCCATGAAGCCTCACTTGCCCGCAGAGTCATGCCTTGCTTATAGACTCTGAAGGGGTTTTACCTCATGTCCACCTCCAACTGCCTGTCAGTGCTAACAGGGCCTCTACTAAGGTCAGATTAAGCATGCTGAGTCCCAAAGGATCAGAACATTTACACACTATAAAAAAGATTATAATATTAATACATATATGGCAAAAAAATAAAAATTGTGGGTAAAAGTAATTTCTGGGAACACTAGACCAAAATAGAGATAACATGGTTTCAGATTGATTGAATTTACTGATATGAATATATATATATATATATATATATATATATATATATATATATATATAAATATACCAGCCATGTGGTATATATTGTGGTATATATAGTGCTGTCTGGCAAGAATATAATAAGAAACATACATGTATTTTAATTTTCTAGTAGCCACATAAAAAGCACGAAGAAGTTAAAATTAATTTTAATATTTCATTTTTTAATATATTTAAAATATTTCAAAATATAATCAATATAAAACTATTAATGATATATTTTCCTTTATTTTACTGTTCTTGCAACTCCAGCATGATTTTACATTTATACCCTATCTCAATTTCAGATGCTAGCTTTTTATCAGAAATACTTGATTTATTTACATATAATAAAACAAATTGAGAAAGTAGATTCAGATCCCCAGGATTTTCCAAATATAATTAAACATTTTTCAGTAACAGAAAAAAGAACAAAAATAACATTTTACGTCAATATTTGCATCTAGATTGAAAAAACTCCTTTTGACATCATCAGGGAAATATGATAGGTAGTTACTTCAAGAAAACCAGAATAGTCTACTATATATTTGAAAGGAAAGAAAGGAGGAAGAATGGAAAGAGGAAAGGAAGGAAGCAATAGAAGAAGAGGGGACAGGAGAAAGGGAGGGAGGAAGTGAGGAGATGCAAGAATGAAGGAATTAAGGAAAGAAAATAACAAGAGTAACAAAGGGTTTCTGGAAATTAACAATATTATCAATATATAGCTAGAAAGAGATAAGAGAAAGAGATAAGTTTCAAGGGCCAGCTATTGATGTGAACAATAAACTGAAAACACATCCTAATATAAAGAGCCAAAGAAAAAAGAAAAAAGAAAGCAGACATAAGAGAAGAGTTAACAAGGAGATTTACTTCCAGTTGTTTAACAATTGCCTATGCTTCAGAGCTGAGAATGTGATAGAAACGAGATAGAAAACACAAACACTACAAACAAAATAGAAAACACAAAATCCCTGGAAAATCTCCTGAACATAGTCTTCAAAGATTTGACTGTTCACAAATTACTGAAGCAAGATGAAAGAAATAATGTATATACAAAAACATCCTACCCACAAGGGTTAGAAATCAGACTGACCTAATACAGTGCTTATAACACCAGATTCTGCAAACCTGTGGAGGGATGTCTTGAAAGTTTTGAAAACTGTGCAAGCAAACAATTTTGAACTTCAAATTCTAAGTTAATATATTGTAGTGTAAAGCAAAATAAAGACATTTTCAGTCGTAAAGTAATGAGAGTGCTCATTACCATTATCTTATATAAAACTAAATATTCTGGCCGGGTGCAGTGGCTCACGCCTGTAATCCCAGCATTTTGGGAGGCAGAGGCGGGCAGATCATGAAGTCAAGAGATCGAGACCATCCTGGCCAATATGGTGAAACTAAAAATGCAAAATTATAAAAATACAAAAATTATAAAAATACAAAAATTAGCTGGGTGTGGCGGCATGCGCCTGTAGTCCCCGCTTCTTGGGAAGCTGAGGCAGGAGAATTGCTTGAACCCAGGAGGCGGAGGTTGCAGTGAGCCACGATGGCACCACTGCACTCCAGCCTTGGTGACAGAGTGAGACTCTGAAAAAAAAACAAAATTAAATATTCTGAAAGATTCTCTTGGAAAAGAAAAAAAAAGTGGAAGTAGGAATATGAGAAAGTTGATATGAGGCAGAAAAAATACTGACAATGATTTCAGGATGAAGAAAAATAGGTGCAAATATATTTTTGAAAAGTAGTTGTCCCGGATGTTTAGCAAAATGTACTTTGGCAAAGTTTAGGGACTTATGGATTATTTTCTTTTCTCAAGTTAGTCTAACTGTAATACAGGGCTCTGAAGTGATTGATATTCAACGTCATAATATATTCAAACATAATATATTCAATGTCAACCAAAAATTTAAAAAGTAGATAATGTTCTTACTATTTCAAAGCATACAGCAAAAGTTAAAAATTGTAAAGTGAAAATACACATAACCAAACCAAAAAAATGTAGACAGTTGGAAAGATGGGAGGTTATATAATGAGGAGAAATTCTTTATCTCATAGTGAGCATTAAACATAAATGTCAAAGTTGTTTTTTTTAATTTTAAGAACATTACATAATATATTTTAATTATATGCTTATAAGAAATTTATTTTATTCTTAGATTCTTCTGTTCTAGAGATCATTTTGAATTAAAAGAAAATCATGTTGTCCTTATTCTAGTTTTTTCATTTAATGTATATAGTATATTTATTAATCGGTTTTAAAAGTTCTTTATTTCTTCTCTATTTTCTTTTTTTCTTCTCTATTTTCTTTTTTTTCTTTTTGAGGAAATAGAAGTAAACATGAACATTTGAAATGACTAGCAAAATACCTCTATATATTCTCACAAAGCAAATGCACTTTTAAAAGCTCCCATGTGGGAAACTTCTTCTCAAATGAAAGATGGAAAAAAAAATTGGGGTAAGAGGTAACCAAATCACCCAAAATAAAAAAGATTTTTAAGTAGAAAACTAATACTACACAGCAGAACTTCTCTATATGTTCAAAATCCTAACGTTTTTCTTAAGGAGTTGGGATGGAGTCAACAAGTCCCAAATCAGTCTTTCTATATTAAAAAGAGACAAAAGGGAGAATCTAATGAGCTTAAACTCAGAGCCACAGAGATAATGAGAGCAAGAGACCTTGGTCTGTAAGCAGCAACTCCCTTTGTTTCACATTGAATACCCTCATCTAGTTATTAGTTCTTCCTCCAGTAATCTGTCAAACAATGAGGGACTAGAATTTTAAAAGGTGCATTGCCACAGAAAGCAAGCCAGTGCTGAGCTAGTGAAAAGGTGAGATAATGAGATTGACATTGCTGACACTGGAAATCTGGTAATATAAAGATTAGTTTACAATCAAATTACTCTCATATTCACTTATAGCCAAATAAGTAAAGAGGCCACCTGTAAAGTATTTTCCCCACGAGCAATGGTATGGAGACTGTTATAATAAACACATGTTTTAGGCAGCAAGGAATTCAGTGGAAGTTGCTAGACACGTAGGTTGTTCAAAACTAAGCAAGATTCTCCTAAACGAATGATTCATCCATAGTAACAACACTAATGCATTATTGACTTTCAGTTTATATCTATTTTCATTTTTTCCAATCTGTTGCAGTGCAATAGAAGTGGTGGTTTGTTGTGTTGTTGTTTTAAGATGTTGTTTTAAGTACATAATTTCACTCCATTTGTGCCAGGAAAATGCCCAAACACCTTCATTAGAAATAAAGCAAATCTGTTCAACAGTACTCCGAACAGCAGGCACTGTATGCTTTATTGAACAGAAAAGCTTTAACAAGCCTTATCGTGTACACATGTTCATTGTGCCTGTGTCTGCTTATGTTCTCAAACTTCCTGAAAATGTGGGTACAACAACAAAGCAGTGTTTAGCTACCCTACTTAACTTGGCCAGGTGGTTGATTATATGGTTTGGCATATTTTTTGCAGGTGGTATACAAAATCATATGTACGAGCTGTTCAGCCCACTGAAACAGTTTTTTGTAACATTTTTTTTGCTAAATGACACAGCCCCAGCCACACATAACAACATAAAATGATGCCAGAGTGATATCTTCTCTGGATTCATTTAGCTTTGCAAAGAATTCTCTAAGAAAGACATTTTCCTGCTTTCGTTTCTGTTTCATGCTGGGTAATGTTGGCAAGAATTATTCATGGCACATGTGAGCAATTCAAAGAAATATTGTAAAAAAAAAAAAAAAAACAAGGCAGCTTTGCAGAGGTGCGCTATCTGCTTGATGACTTGGCATGCTGCCTCTGGTGCTTGGCATAGCACCCTAGCTGCTGGCACAGGGGAAGTTACATATACTTGCCATTGGGCCTCTACTATGCTACCTGCTGTGCACGATCAATATCAACCAACTGCATAAACAACCGGATGAACCTTGTATCTGAGGGACAGCAAATAGCATTTGAATTATTTTACATAAATCTGAAAATGTAATAGCGGTTGATGTTCCTATTAGTATTATATCTGAGCACGATGATCATAATTGAGTAACATTAAATTTAGTTTATTGAACAGCAGTCCACTGCCCGGTTTACTGTGACTACGATCTGTGTAATGAAACCAGCAATATGAAAAATTCTCTCAGTTGGTACACTTCCTGGAGAGGAG
This sequence comes from Homo sapiens, assembly GCF_000001405.40. Classification (NCBI taxonomy): domain Eukaryota; kingdom Metazoa; phylum Chordata; class Mammalia; order Primates; family Hominidae; genus Homo; species Homo sapiens. Next base: position 71,150,035 of record NC_000013.11, read on the forward strand.
CCAAAGTATTTATTGCTATTTGTGCAATTAATGGCCGTATCGATTTCTTTTTTTTCTGGTAAATAGTAGATAAGTTGTGCTAAGTTTTCTTAGCTCTTCAAGGTTTGTTTCAGCTGTAATTAATGTGACTGTAAGAATAATACTCAATTGTTCTCAGGAACTGGTTTTCATGTCTGCAGCATTTGCAACTGACACATTACTCTAGTTTGAAATGATTAAATTGATAAGTGACTCTATTGCCAAAATAATCCCATATGCTGAAGTGTGATTTATTAATGTTCAAAAATCAGAAGGTAAAACTTCACTAGCCAAAATGCTGTGGTGGTTAATCATCTGTTCTTCCAGCTAATTCCATAATCCTCAATGTGACAATCAATTCATCATGCTGAAATGGCAAATTCATATGAATCATATTTCCAAGTTCTACAGGCAGTCAATAAAATATATTGCACATTTCCCATAAATTATGTGATATAATGTTAATTTATTTTTCACATTAAAAACTCTAACTACCCTATGTGTTTATATATTGTGCTTGTAAAATGATGAGCCTCATCCTGGCACATCTAGACAATTACACCATGCACAGGAAAGAAGATGTGAAGCCCTCTGATTTATAAAGAATTCACAGAAATACTGGGAAGTCCACCTCCTCTAATATGATCAAATGTTCTAATGTCTTCTCCTACTTTGTTCTTATGTCTTACTGATCAGGATTCAAAGATCTTCTTTAGCGTATTTCTCATTTGCAGGAGATGGATAAAATAAAGAAAGTCAGTGTTGGCATCATTTTGTGCATTCTTGCTATTGAAGGAATTAGAGTAATCTACATTCCAGTTCATATGCTCCTCTTTCTTTTATTTCAGTTCCACACATCACCCTAATTTCATGGTTAGAGTGAATACTCTACAACTCCTTTCTTTCTTTTTAATCTTATTCTCTAAAATCTATTTAGTATACACAATAAGAACTAAAATATAGGAATGTATCATTTCCAGGTATCCCAATGGGTCATATGATTCATAATTCTCTAAGGAAAAGATTATAGTGGGAAGGGCTTTCTGTCTTTAGTAGATACAATCCCTGATGTTGTCCTATTAAAAGTAGGGCTCTGTAATTTCTAAATATGACGTGGACATAGCACAATAAATGTCTAACTTTACTCCATTTTATATGTCATATTAAATGTACTAAATTATGCAGCAGGTCAGAATCCCGAATACTCCCTAAAGGAGAAACTGCCTGTACATATTTAGGGCTCAGATAGTCAGCACAAATAACACATTTAAGGAAACAGTCTGGATCCTGAGTTTGTTTTCCTCCTGACTTCTGTCTGTTATTTCCCATAAATCCTTTATATCAATACTACTTTTTTATGTGGATTTTAGATCTTCTATGGTCCTTCTAAAAATGGCTAATCACTTGATTTCTCTGACTGTAATTCATCCTCCACCTCAATGTCCTGGTTGTCCTTAGCTCTGACATGCAATTTTCCTTCATGTGAAGAGACTCTTGAGTCAGTTCCTGCAAGTTACTTTATGAAAAGAACAATGGAGAACTTGTCATATACAATCTGATTTTGTTGAAAAATTTGTTGTATATATATAAAAAAAAAAAACTGGCCGGGCGCGGTGGCGCATGCCTGTAATCCTAGCACTTTGGGAGGCCAAGGTGTGTGGATCACCTGAGGTCAGGAGATCAAGATCAGCCTGGCTAACATGGAGAAACCCCATCTCCACTAAAAATACAAAAATTAGCTGTGCATGGTTGCAGGCGCCTGTAATCCCAGCTACCTGTGAGGCTGAGGCAGGAGAATCGCTTGAACCTGGGGGGCCAGAGGTTGCAGTGAGCTGAGATCACGCCACTTCACTCCAGTCTGGGTGAAAGAGTAAAACTGTCTCAAACCAAACAAAAAAACAAAATATTATTTTGGAATTATGTGTCTACCACTGAGAATGAAATTAACAATTTTTTGTAATGACTCATTGATAACACATTGCCATCCAACAAATTGTTCTTTCCTTGAAATGTAATTACTAATATTTACATATAAGAAATGATATTTCTTCTGGAAAATAAAATTTGTCTTAAAGATGATTTACCAGTAAGGCTAAAAACCACCATATTCAGGGTAAACAATTAATTCAGTCAGTTTCTACACTGTATACGAAAGCTGGCAAAAGAAGAGGGTTCAGGGGCAAGAGCCAAGATCTGGCTGACAGAACAGAGCAGTTAGCACTTGCTGCTTGGGTACCTAGGGATATGGGCACTAACCTCTGTGATGATTATATTTCAGCCAAAGATGCAGCATAAGCTGATATATGTTATCACAGACTGAGCCATAAAAGTCTATGGAACACAAGCTCCTTTTTACAAGAAGGACTAACTCTACAATGTTATATGACTTAACAATATAACAGCTGGAATAGAACCATACTTTTTCATTCAGAAATTCTTGCTCTTCCAGCAGCATGAAATTCACCTATTAGGTAACAGGAAGTGTGTGTGTGTGTGGTTTGTGTGTTTGTGTGTGTGTGTAAGGACCTTTTCATAAGTGTGATCTCCTATGAACATGGGTGTGCAGATCTGAACTTAGCTCTCCCTTACTCAAAACACTTCAGTGGCTTCCAATTATATTTATCCTAAACCATTAATACCTGGGATTTCAATCATAGCACAAAGGAGGAGAGAAGTTGAGCTACTTGGGGACAAGGTTGAGTGTTTTACCAGAATTAAATTAAAATTCTATTGCAATCTCTAGAGCAACCACTAAGAAAAGTCAAAATTATATAGTTTTAAAAAATCACAGCTATTCGGGAGGCTGAGGCAGGAGAATTGCTTGAACCCGGGTGGCGGAGGTTGCAGTGAACTGAGATCACACCATTGCACTCCAGCCTGGGCAACAGAGTGAAACTCTGCCTTAAAAAAATCAACAGAGAAACAAAACTATATAGTTAACTCAATATAAGGCAGTAAAGTAATCACAGAAGTACAACAAAGACACAAGACAAATTGAAAGCAAATATGAAAATGATAGATGTAAATTCCACAATATAAGTAAAGTAAAAAGGTAATGATCATCAAATTGGGTTAAAAAAAATCAAGACTAACTATATGGTGTTTTTGAGAGACATACCATAGATTCAAAAGCACAAATAAGTTGAAAATAAAAGAATGGCAAAGATATACATATATCTGTCAAAAAATAACCACAGAAGAGCTGGAGTGACTGCATTAAGATATGAGAGACTTTAAGAAAAGAGACATTACGATAAAGAGTGACAAAAGGGTCCACCAGGTTCATAATGATGAAAGGATAAACTCAGGGGAGGAAAAAAAATGTTTATGCACCTAACAACAAAGTCCAAAATAGTTGAAGCAAAAACTGGCAGAATTGAAAGTTGAAATAGGAAATCCAACAATCGTCTTCAATAAATTATATTCCCAACTCTCAATTGTTTATTTTTAATTGTTAACTTTTAGTTTAGGTTTGGGGGAACATGTGAAGGTTTGTTACATAGGTAAACATAGGTAGCAGTAGTTTGTTGTACGTATGATTTCATTACCCTGTATAAAGCCCACTACCCAATAGTTATCTTTGCTGGTTCTCTCCCTCCTCCCACCCTCTATCCTCAAGTAGGCCCCCCTGTCTGTTATACTCTCTATCTTCATTAGTTCTTAACATTTAGCTCCCACTTATAAGAAAGAACATGCAGTATTTGGTTTTCTGTTCCTTTGTTAGTTTGCTAAGGATAAATAACCTCCAGCTCCATCCATGTTCCCACAAAAGACAGGATCTCATTCTTTTATATGGCTGCCTGGTATTCCATGGTATATATGTACCACATTTTCTTTATCCAATCATTGATGGACATTTAGGTTAATTCTATATCTTTGCTATTGTAAATAGTGTTTCAATGAACATTCACGTGCAGGTGTGTATATGGTAGAACAATTTGTATGCCTCTGAGTATATACCCAGTAATGGGATTACCAGGTCCAATGGTAGTTCTGCTTTTAGCTTTTGAGGAATCACCATACTGCATTCCACAATGGTTGAACTAACTTACACTCCCACCAACAGTTCCCTTTCTCCTCTACCTCACCAGTATCTGTTATTTTCTGACTTTTTAATTACAGTCATTCTAACTAGTATGAGATGGTATCTCATTGCAGTTTTGATTTGCATTTTCCCAATGATCAGTGATATTGAGCCTTTTTTATGATTGTTGTATGAAATATGTCTTCTTTTGAGAAATATTTGTTTATATCATTTGCCCACTTTTAATGGGGTTATTTGTTTTTCTCTTACAAATTTGTGTAAGTTCCTTATAGACGGTGGATATTAGATCTTTGTCAGATGCATAGTTTGCAAAAATCTTCTGCCATTCTGTACGTTGTCTGTTTACTCTGTTGATAGTTTCTTTTGCTGTGCAGAAGCTCTTAAGTTTAATTATATTCCACTTGTCATTGTTTTTGGCGTCTTTATCATGAAATCTTTGTCCATTACTATATTAAGGATGGTATTGCCAAGGTTGTCTTCTAGCATTTTTATAACTTTGAGTTTTACATTTAAATCTTTATTCCATCTTGAGTTAACTTTGTGTATGGTGTTAGGAAGGGGTTCAGCTTCAGTCTTCTGCATATGTCTAGCCAGCTAACCCACCACTGTTTATTGAATAGGGAGTCTTTTCTCCATTGCTTGTTTTTGTAAGATGGTCTTAGATGTGCAGCCTTATTTCCGGGTTTTCTATTCTGTTCCATTAGTCTATGTGCTTGTTTTCATACCAGTACCATGCTGTTTGGGTTACTGTAGCCTTGCAGTATAGTTTGAAGTTGGGTAATGTGATGCCTCCAGCTTTGTTCTGTTTGCTTAGAATTGCCTTAGCTACTCAGGTTCTTTTATAAACTCAGCTAAAAATCATCAAGAATACAGAAGACTTAAACAACATTATCAACTAAATTGATAAATTGTAAAAATTAAAATTTTTAACACAATTAATCCAAAGTCTACAGTATTCAAGTTCTTTCAATTGCATATCAAATATTCTCCTGGATGGACACTTATTTTGTGTTTAGCCACAAAATAAGTCTGAATAAATTTTAAAATATTGAAATCATATAAAATATGTTTTCTGACCAGAATTAAATTCGAATTCTATAACAGAGACAAGAATCTGAAAAATACTAAATATTTGGAAAATAAAAATTTTTAAAAAATGGCTCAAAGAATAAATTACAAAGGAAATAGATAAGATTTTGAACTGAATAAAAATTAAAACACACCTTAAAACTTATAAGATGTAGCTAAAGCAGTATCTAGACGTAAAGTTATATCCTGAAATCCCTGTATCAGTAAAGAAAAAAAAAACTCTCAAATCAGTAGCCAAGCTCCTGCTTTAAGAAACTAGGAAAAAAGGCAAACTATGTAAAAAGCAAGCAAAAGCAAGCAGCATAGACATAATGATTGGAGCATAAGTTAATAAAACTGAAAACAGAATCAATAAAGAAATCAATGAAAACAAAAGTTTGTTTTTTTGAAATGTTAAACAAAACTGACAAACCTTTAGCGAGTTAGATCAAGAAAATAAGAGACAAGGCACACATTACCAGGGAAAGAATAAAAGAGATAATGTTATTATTAATGACCAAACAGATAATAAAGGGATAATAGAGGGACACTATGAACAAATTTTTGGCAACATGTTAGTGTGGTGCCAAAGCTAGTGAGTGATAAAAATAATTTAGAAACTGGGAAAATAACTTTGATCTACTCTCCTGAGAACTAGGAATGGTCCACTACCAAGAGAAATAATCTAACCATAAATGCAAAAAACTGGACAATGTTTGAGGATCATAATGGAAATTTTAAAACAAAACAAAAACTATATCACAGTGATACATTCTGGGGAAAAAAATAGCTACTAGGAAGAAGCATACTCTAACAGAAATAACTTGTACTTCAGCTATTAAAAATCACTCCAATTTTCTTGATTCTCAAAGACTGAAGTAGGTATCTCTTTTTTTGTGCTACCGTATCCCTCTTTCATCATAGTCCCTATTATACTCCGTATTGAAATCACCAGGTGACATATTTATATTTAATACCTGATATCAAAATTTTTGAGGATAGAGACAATGTTTTCTGCATTGTCATATTCCTATTGCCTAGTACGTGGTTGGGGCTCATCAGATATTATATTTACTTGAAAGACTGAATGAACAGACATAAGACAGGAATTTTCATCCAGCTCTCAAATTAACTGGGTGACTGAGAAGTAAGCCGTAAGGAGTAACTCTAGTGTCTTCATGTTGGCCTTCTGTGACGTTCTGTGAAATCAATCTGGAATGGTATCAAGATGGAATCCAGTTTACCCACCCCCTAGGTTATATCAGTTGTATTCATAAGCTTTGAACGTGAGCTCCTGATCACTCCAGGAGCAGGCCTGGTGCTCACCAAATCATTACTGCTGTTCTAATGGGCTAGAGCAGGAGCCAAAGTTCTGCCACTTCATAATGCTACCAACCCCCGATCAAAACAGAGGTGGAGCTACTGCTTCCCAACGAAGGCTGTAATTCAAAAACTTGATAGACCAAGGGTCAGCGCTTCTTCTCCGCAGGCTGACAGCGAGCCTCTTCAGATCTCTGAGCACTATTTGGAATACAGTGCACAGCAGTGCCACAGCTCCTCCTCCTCCTCCTGGAGCTGATATTTCCTGGTAAACCTGGCTCCAGCCAACTGCTAGTGTGAGATCCCGCCCTTTGCCTTTGATTATATGACACTGCTTGGGCAAGTCTGTCTGATACTAAGCTTCCACATCATCTAAAAAAGAAGAAACAAAGTAAAAGTCTGTGATTCTACTTTGATTTCTCCCCAAAATCTGTATTTGTGAGTAAATCATAAGCCAATCCACTGAAATTGCTTGTTCACATCACCTTAATGTGGTAGAGAGAAGTTAACATAGGCAGACTGGCTAGGCAAAGAGAAGCATTTTATTTATAGTAATGAGGGAAGACTCAGTGGCATAATTTTGAAATTTGAGGGGCTCCAAGGAATATTGTGCTAATGCTCCTTACCCAACTTTCTGCACCCGGAATTGTCCTTCATGTGCCCTTTGCTTTCTCTACATTCTGAAGAGGAAGTTGGACTATACAATAATATTTTTTACTGGAGTAACTGTTAATTAATGAGATAAATTTTTCTCTGTGACTAGTGGTCAAAGTCCTATTGACTTACATGCACAATGAACGTCATGCCAGGAACTCAAAAAATTTTTCAAGAGATCCAAAATGTATCAAAAATGATTTGGAAAGTCTTTGTCTAAATATTTTTAAAAATAGATGACTAAATGAAATTAAAAATAAGAAAGCTGCTAGACTTTGAATATTTGTATATTTTGTTATAAAAGATATATACATATACACATACACATATATATGGAAAAAGTTAATGCAGCAGTCTTGTTTTATTCTATTCTTGCCTATAGGTAATCGTGATTACATGCAAACTCTGAGAACAAAACAACTTGAATTTTTTTTTGTAGCTACTGAGTGATGATGTTCTTTCTATACATCCCAAGCGTTCTGTACATCTATGCATCCCAAGTGCATCAAGATGGACCAGGTTGTCAGCATGTTCAGAGTAAACATGAAGATTTATGATGTGCATCTAATGCCTGGTTTGGGGTCTGCACCATGTTGGAGTCCAAGACTCAAGTGGGCTTTCCTGGGTAAAGATTGCTCCCACATAATCTACAATTTGCAGGTGGAGAAAATGATGCATCTATTATGTGATACCCATAAAGTGAAGGCAAGAAAGTCTGTGTTTGTGACCATTCCCCTTTGCCTATTGCGTGTCTTTTTCCTGTAATCCTTCACTATATGCTTTGCTGCAATAACTGTTAACTATTGTATATAACTTTATGTTTAGTTACATGAGTCCTTCCAGTGAATTAGTGAGCTTGTGCAGTCATTGCTCTACAAAATAGCACATTTCATAATAATTTTATGAATTGGTTTATGATAATCAGTGATGTACTTTCAAAAAAGATATACTTTATAGAATTATAATTTTGCTTCTTTTAATACAATTAAAAACTCATATGAGGTATTTAGTCTAGTCAAATTCATAGAGACAGGAAGTAGAATAATGATTGCCAGGGACTGGAGGAGGTTGGAATGAGTAGCTGTGTAATGGGTACATAGTTTCAGTTTTGCAAGATGAAAAATATTCTGTGGATGGATGGTGGTGTTGGTAGCACAACTATGTGACTATACCTAATGCCACTGAACTATACACTTAAAAATGGTGAAAATGGTAAATTTCATATATATTTTCCCATAACATTTAATGTAATTTATTAAAACAATAAATAATAATGTTTTACTAGCATAATGTTTAAAATCAGTTGCAATCACTCAGTAAATGTCTTTATATCTTTGTGTTTCATTTTATTATCAAAGACAGACTAGCTAAGGTCCCAGTTATCAACTAATACATCTGAAATTAAAACTTCCCAGGAAGCAGCAAGTCGCCCTTTCCCATTCTTACTGTTCCTTTCTATTTTAGGCCTTCATCTTCTTGAGAACAGTCTAACTGCTCAGTATTTCCCATTCCGCTAGAAGGTCTCGGGGACCTGGTTACAGTCCATGTCCCTTTTTTGTTTAGCTATTCCCACTCTCCAGAGCTAATAAAATATAGTCCAGTCCCCATAATCTAGTCTTGAAGACATTTTATTTTTCCCCCGAAGTCACTACCTCTCCTACTCTGCAAAATATTGTATTTTGGGTCCTGAACCTTCCACTCCTATCCAAACATACCATTTTCTTTTATACTTCTAGACCACTAAATTTCTGTAGAGAATTACACCCCCCAACCCCTTAATAATGTGAGAAGGTAATATTGACAGGGTATATTTATTGTCCTTTAATTGTCACCTCCTCCGTGATGTCCTCTTCACCTCAGATTCTTCCAGAACTAACACTGATTTGCCCAGTGTCTTCCAAAAGTTCTTGGTCCACCTCTGTTTTATAGTACTATTAGAGTTGAATAGTTATTTCCATTTTTTTCTTGCCCCTTGTGGAGGGAGAATAATACTTTACTACCACATTAATGTCAGTCTTGGCCATGTTATTTGGTCTCACCAGTGAAATATAAGTGAAATTGGCATGTGTCCCTTCCAGATAAAAATAATATTAAGAGTCAGAAATATTTCACAGAGAATATTTCTTTTAGCTTGAGTTCCATAGTGAATATAATATACAGGAGAATCATAGCCCAACGATGAGCCCAACAATATTAGTTTTTGTAAACCACAGCAATTTGGGAGTCATTTGTTATGACCGAGATTATCCTTACTAATAAGAGTTCTAACAATGTTCTGTATTATTAATTTGTCTATAGAGCTAGCTCTTCCCACTAAACTATGAGATTAATTGCATTAAAAATTGCTATTTATCTTTGTTATTTTAATGCCTAGCACTTTGCTCAGTTCAGAGATGTTTAATACATTTTTTGTATGAATGGACAAATAAATGGAAAAAAAAGGATAAAACTTTAAAACTATTCCAGTCATTATTATTATGCTCCACTATGTGGAGTTATTTCTTACTGTATCAGAAATGTTGCTTACTCAGTATTCATATATGTGAGTATTTTCATCAACTGGTTTGTTGGGTTAATGATTTGATCATTCCTTGAAGAGACAGTGATTTAACCTAATAGAGATCAAAGCTACTGATGTTGTCTGAATTTAGATTAGATAAGTATTGCACCTTTCTAGTGTATGTTTCACCATTTTGTTTATGGAGTGTGAAATATATAGCCTTGTGCTGTTTCTGCACCCTTCATCCATGCATAGCCAACAAAATACTGTACGCACCATTTCTGCTAACCTTGGCAAATTAGTAGAGGTATTTGTGTAATCAGGCAGTTGAGTGTTTGTGTAGTTTATCACTTTTTATGAAAAGGGAAATGTGTTAAGGAGGATTAAGCAGAAAAATAACTATCAGTGGCTTATATTTAGAATATTGCCATAGTAGAATAAGAAAAAATAAAAGTGATGCCAAGTGTTTCATTAAAAAATATTAAGTTTCATTAATAAGGTGATATGACAAAACCAAAACTATACAGTTCATTTTTTTCTTGTCAGTGAGAAAGTAGAGAAACATTTGTCTTCCTTTTCTTTTTTTGAGAACACTAGTCCACCTTTAATTCCATGTGACTAGCTCCCAGTATTTTTTTTTAGCTAAGATTGCAGTCCTTTGAGAACAATGTTGACAGCTTTGAGCTGACAAAGAATCATTATAATCAGTGCTGAAGATATGAAATCACAATGAGAGAATTCATGTTTATAGTAGCAGGGACCACACACTGTGATAGTTTGCATTAGGAACTCAGCAGGTGCAATATGCAAAACTGAATCACAGTAGAGGATTTGAGGAACTTAGGATATAAAAAGGTCATTTTTGCTCGAGTACCTGTCTACTGTGTTAAAGTAAAAAAAAAAAAGAAATTTCCATAAAATTTTGCAGAAGATAACATATTGTGTATACATGAACTTAAAGGTTTCCATAGTGTTAGTGCAAATTATATTGTTTACCTTAATGTCAACAGCATTTGAGTGCTAGATACAGAAGTTGATTAAAAGCATTATAGATGTCATTTTATATAAGCAATAAAAAACCTCAAGAAATTACAAATGGCAGATCTTATAAATATTCAAATAAACAAAATCACCCAAATGTTTTTCAATTGTTAAGGAGTGGGCTGAGCTGTAGAGATGAGGTGTGAAAAAGTATTATAACAGTGAAACCCTGTGTTTAAGTGCTGTCGATTCTCTGTAGCCACTAGGGTGCACCGAATGTAATGGCATCATTTTTATTCTACTCTTTATGCATGGAATGGGGAAGGTGGTTTTGCAAGGAAAGTTAGATTAGTTGGCCCTGAGAAAATTGTCAAGTAAATGAATTGTTATTCTTAGAACCGTCTCGTTCGTCTATGATCTGAACCTATTTGGCATGTTAGTAATATTTCTCTTCCATATATGTCACTCATTCATTTTTCAACAATGCTTTACAAAACACCGATTCTGTCTAGGCACAAGAGGATCATGGAGGTATAGAACATGATCTTTCTTTTTGAGGCATTTGCAGACTAATGGAAGACATGAACACCTAAGCATAATTACAGGAATGTCATTAGAGACATGGGAGCCACAAAGAAGAAAGCGCCACACTCTGCCTGAGCTTGTAAGCATTCACAAAGGTGCAGGGCTATGAGTTGAGGTGTTTTCCTATGGGTATGCACTCACTGAGTAAATAAATGGGTTAGTTGAGGCAGAGAGAACATCACACAAAATGCATAAAGAAAGCAATAAGCAGCTTGCTGAGATCGACTTCCAAAGGGTTTGTGAGAAATGGCTAAACAGAAACAGGAAAGCGGGCAGAATCCTGCTGACTATATGCTGAGGAATTTGGGTTTTATCTTGTTTAATTAAGAGTCATAGAAGGATATTAACAAGGAAGGCAATATTAACAAGTTTGCCTTTTAAAGAATTTGGAAGATTTTTCTGGGGAAACTTAAAACTGCAGGTGAAAAAAAGGATCACTTAAAACCTAAACTCCTCATTTTCTCTCCCCACTATTAACACTTGTAGTCTTGAAAATTCATTTAAAGATATTCATTTTAAATGTCAATTGCCTAACAACAACTTACAAGTATTTGTATGCTTTCAATAATATATTCTGTGCAATAATGATCCAAATCACAATGAAACTAAGTGAAATTTCTTGTACTAGGTTTTTGGGAAGCTTGATAACTTTCAGGCTATCACTGAAAAGCACCAGAAGCAGGGAGCACAGATTGTTAAGATACTTCGCTTTCCAGTCTTAGTGGAAAGATGCAGAGGCAGAGGGGTATGATGGCCTTGAATTTGTCCTGGACCATTCTAACCCTTAAAACCACTGTCCCTAAAATGCTACAGGCAATTCTTTACTCTTAAGCACTAAGGGATCTTTTTTCCCTCTTCCCGCTTGCTCTTGTTGCTTCTCATCAGTCTTTTAATTAAATTCCAACCTGTTGTTTTTCAAGCTACTCCTTTCTTATAGTTTTGAACTGGACACAGTTCCTCAATTGTCGATAGACATTCACTTTGGGTTTTAAAGTATAAGCCAGGCAGAATGGTAAATGTCCGTAGTTCCAGCTACTCGCGAGGCTGAGATGAGAGGATTATTTGAGCTCATGAGTTTGATTCCAGACTCGGCAAATAGTGATACACCTGAGATGTTGTCTCTAAAAAAAAAACTGTTTAACTTAAAAAAATGTACACATTAATTTTAGTTATTTGTTTTTATTTTTTATTACTTATTTATTTATTTATTTATTTATTTATTTATTTAGAGACGGAATCTCGCTCTGTCGCCCAGGCTGGAGTGCAGTGGCATATCTGGGCTCACTGCAACCTCCGCCTCCCAGGTTCACGCCATTCTCCCGCCTCAGCCTCTCGAGTAGCTGGGACTATAGGTGCCTAACACCATGCCCGGCTAATTTTTGTATTTTTAGTAGAGACGGGGTTTCACGGTGTTATCAAGGATGGTCTCAATCTCCTGACCTCGTGATCCACCCACCTTGGCCTTCCAAAGTGCTGGGATTACAGGCGTGAGCCACCGCGCACGGCCTATTTGTTTTTATTTCTATTAATGGAAGTGAATTCAGTTTTATTAAATGAAAAACTAATATCTTACATATTCAAAATTAGTTTGAAATTCTTATAAGATAACAAGCATTTTCTCATATTCAAACAGATTTTTAAAAATACAGATGTTCTATGGTTTTATTAAAATATTCTATGTTCAGTAGATCTGAACTAGAAAGATGGTTCTGAATGTGAACCAATACTGCTGTTTGCTTCTATCAATATATGTGAATTTAACACATATTTTTTTCGTTTCTTTATTTCACATCCATGTGACACTTACTCATAAGTTAAACCTCATGACAGACACTGCCTGTGGAGAGTTTACTCTCAAGTGAAAGAAGATACAGATGCACACAAATAACTACAATGAAATATTATAGGTGAATATTAGGACATTGAGCACAAACGTGGTTCTTTTCTTCTATTAAATTTCAGTAGGGAATATGGCCTTAAAAATGCTAGAAAATAAATTATTGCTTTCCCATAATGCCTAAAAGGAGAAATGCAAAGTGTTAGGAAAATATTTTTAAAAATAAAATAAATAACATATTTATAACACCTTAAAATTCACAAAATATTTTTGATATTTCTCTCTTTTTTTGTTCAATTGTTGATACTGCTGTCACACACTATAAGCACCTAGCAGCTACTGGCTTAGGTATTTATGCATATTGTCCCATCTCATTCCTACTTCAGACTGATTGCTAAGGTAGCAATTACTATCTTCATGTTACTGATGATGAAATAGAAGATGTGGTAAATTAAATAACTTGTCAAAAGTCATGTAACTATTGATGTCAAAACAGAAATCCAAACCCAGACTTATCTGACTTGAAAGCTCATGAGCTTTCCAATGTGAACAAAACAAAGATTATTCTATTTATAAATGAGAAAAAAAGAGTAATTAATCTGCCCACTGTAAATTAGAGGGTATATATTTGAATCTAGGGTTTCTGACTAAGCATTTAAAATACTTTTCATTTAAACTTGTTGACTCTGGTGACTCTTTTGTGTTGTATGTTAGCATTTTAAATAAACTAAGAGATGAATAAACATTCATACTATACTTTCTTACTAAAGTTTACCGAATGCAATTGTGAAATTTTCTAGAATACAATGTTTGTATCACATTAAATAATTTGAAAATTTTCACTCTAACTCTGTAGGATATATGAGCAAAACTAAGAACAACTCCCCTTAATTGCTGATTAAATTAGATTAATAATCTAATTTTTATTCATAGTATTTTGCAACTGATCCCATGGTATCCTGAAACCATGTACCAGTTAGTAACTGACACATTTTCAACACTAAGTTATTGGGTTCCATAAAGAACAAGTGAAGTTTTAACTTAGTTTGAAAAATTGTGGAAATTAAGAGTCAGAGCCCAGTAAAGTGAGGTGGGTATCTATGTGGGGGGGTGGGGGTGGCTGGTGAGAAACATCAGAGCCCAAGAAGTAGTGAAAGTGATGTCCATAGGAAGGCAGGATCTGGGGTAACGTGGTGTGGAGTCATGGAACCCAATGGTGTGAACAGAATATCCTCATAGCCAGGTAGCCCGAGGGGGAATCCAAAAACAGTCATGAGAATATCCATTGGAGAGACATAGAGACATCTAAATAAAAGCAATGACTGTAACCCTCGAATTAAAGAGGAAACCAGGAGCCCATACTTTAATATATAAATTAATTAACAGTCTGCTGACAGTCTGGTGACAAATGTGATAACTACATAGTTCAAAGTGCTCCCTCCAAAACTTTAAAGAATTACCAAAGGAAAAATAGTCACTTCACAGTTGGAGAATCCTGGCAGATAACTTACTTAAGTGGTCAGAGTGAATATCATCAGCAATGGACAGAATCAAAATCATTCTCCATCTGACAAAATACAATGAGAAGACTTGTAGTATTCTTTCTGTGGTAATCTGCCAAATGCTCATAACCTAAATCTAACAGTATGGACACTGAAACCCATATTGAAGGACATTCTAATCTGTCTACAATCTTCAAAAGTGTTAAGGTCATGAAAGTCAATGGAAGACTGAAAAAACTGCCAAATGAAGTAGACTAAAGAGACATGGCAACTAAACCAGACATATGATTTGGAATTGTATTCGTTTTCTTTTGCTGTCCTGATAAGTGACCACAAACCTAGTGGCTTAAAATAACTCAACTGTATTATTTTCTATAAGTCGGGATTTCAATGCTAATCTCACTCCAGCTAAAGCCAAAGTTTTGGCATGGTTGCATTTCTTTCTGAAGACTCGGGGTGAGAGTGGGGGATCCATTTCCTCCCTCATTCTGGTTGTTGGCACAATTCAATTCCTTGCACACAGCCCCATACATATTAGAAGCAGCAACTGGATGTGGTCCAAGTCCAATCCTTCTCATGCTGCCATCTCTCTGCACACAGCTGGGATCAGTTCTCTGCTTTTAAGGAATCGTGTGATTAGATTTGGTCTACCTGGGTATCAGGTTAATTTTCTCACCTCAAAGTCTCTAAACCTAATTACATTTTGCCATGTAAGCAATCATATTCACAGGTTCTAGCTAATATAAATAGTTTTGTTTTCGGAATGGAGGGAAAGTACTTATAAAATTACTGATATTGAGTGATTTCAGTCAAATGTACAGTCTCTTGAGGGAAACACCAAGGTAACCCAATCTTTGAAAGGAACATGAGAACATCAGATATTAGTTTTGTTTTATGTCTACAGTTTTGTAGCATGGACATAGGCAGTGTGAGCTAGCTAAGCTGTTTATTAACATTAGTTCCTTACTCTTTTTTTTTTTTTTTTTTTATTGAGACCAAGTTTCGCTCTTGTCACCCAGGCTGGAGTGCAATGGCGCAATCTTAGCTCGCTGCAACCTCCGCCTCCCAAGTTCAAGCGATTCTCCGGCCTCAGCCTCCCGAGTAGCTGAGGTTTCAGGCACCTGCCATCATGCCCAGCTAATTTTTGTATTTTTAGTAGAGACGGGATTTCACCATGTTGGCCAGGCTGGTCTCGAACACCTGACCTCAGGTGATCCTCCCACCTTGTCCTCCCAAAGTGCTCGGATTACAGGCGTGAGCCACCACGCCCGGCCAGTTGCTTACATTTTTTTTTTTAGGATTTTTTGTATTCATTTTGTTGTTATGCAATATTTATTTTGTTCTTAAGGTAAGGTAGACATAACTATAATTGCAAATTCTTCTACATTTAGATTTCAATTAAGTATCTATACCTTAGTAAGCACAATTTACATGGAAAACTTGGTGAAAAAATTATACAAGAAAATATATTAAATCCGTTAAGAAGTTTTGGTGGGTTTCTTTTCTTTAATGTTGTGTATATATTAGATAATGATAATTCTGAGGGTAGTTTTTGCTTTCGATTTACTGTTTGAGCTATTTCTATTGGAAAATCGTTTATAGGCAAAAACAGTTTCACTAATCCAAATTTGCACTGTTTATGACTTCTGAAATAGAAACCTGAATATCACATTGAATCAGTTTTGCTAATACAGTGCCCTGTAAACAATGCATGACTTATTTAAGAGATCAAACCAATAGTGAATAAAGTAGAATATCATCCATTCATAGGCACATCAGTTGGTAGCTTTGTCTGTGTTTGCAGGTGTATGTGTCTCTTGGTGTGTACAGTTGTACATCAAAAGCCTTAGAAAGACAACTGTATGCTGATAAATACTGTAAATGTCTAATTTCTGGACCTGGAGAAGCTTCCTCTTAACTTCCTCTAATCATTAACAAAAAGATATTGAATAAAACATCTAATGTTACAAAAGTATTTTGCTATTTATCAGGAAAATAGATGATTAAAGCCATTTGTTTTCCATATTCTAATTTGAACCTAAATTTCTGCTTATGTATAATATATAAATCATTCCTTAAAAATTTTTTTGTCTATTTTAGCTTTTAAATATTTTACAACAGATTTTATTCTGAAAAGAAAAATTTTAAAAGGCACATAATTGAAGTTTTCAGAATTTCAATTCAATCCTTTTCTCACTAAATCATGACATTATTAGGTAGACATAAAACCTACAACCAATCTTTTGCATAGGTAGTAATTAAGCTAACTTATATATGTATTTTTTCCAAATATTCGATGTTTCTTTGGTAATATTTTTCTAGCATAGTTCTATTGAAATTTTGACTATAGCGTATTTTCATTTTTTAATTAATTTTGCTCTTGTTTGCTTTCTCTGATGAGAATCGTGAATAATGAAAAATCATATATTTTTAAGAGAAAAGAGTGAAAAATATAGTTGTATTTTGCTCATATTTCATGATCTTATCATTAGTTGGTGGCACTAAGGTAATTATATTAAGAACAAAACCTCCTAGGCTGGCTTTCTGTTTCCAGGTAATTCATTCATATGTATTTATTTGCGTTGTATTTAATGACTCTCTAATTTTATATTATTTGAATGATCCTTATAATTAAGGCATTCTCTACTAACAAACAGCAGTGTTGCTTTAATTTACTCTATTGGGACGCACGAGCCTTAAAGACTACTACCTTAGTTCATTGACGGATCAAGCAAATAATAAATTTGGCAAATATCTGTAAGATACAAAAGTTTAATACCAAGAAAATAATTTTAGACTGCCCTTTTTTTCCCATTTTCCCCCAGATATTTCATGATTCTGAAGAAGAATTGGAGGTGAGACTTGAGAAAATGGAGAAAAAGGTAAGAATATAAAGTGGCTAAAGTAATACACATGCACATACACACACACACATATATACACACAGAAACACACACACACACACACCTCAAAATAAAATCTGAGAGTGGTAAAAGGGTGATGGAAAAGAAAATATGACTCAATATGGGAAGAAAAAATGAGCCGAATGTACGAAAGAAATGGGAAGTATCAGAAGAGATTATGAGAAACATTTCTGAAGATTATGAATTTAATCCCTTTAATTTTTTTTAAATGTTGCAGATATGCTTTGGATTTTCTTGAAGACTAGAAGCTTTCTTAACCATCCACCACCTTGTTGACTGGTTATTATTCTCTCTACCTTCTGTGAAACAAACTGATGGATACTAATGGCACAATTACACTTATAGCTAGTCAGTTGCATAGTTTATGCACATAGTTCTGCTTCCAGTGTTTAGTAATGAGTTAAACATTTTGGCTATATTTGTCTCTGAAGCTATAATTTCAATTAATCATTATGTATAGCAATAATAACAAGTAAAACAAAAAGAAGAATTTTTTGTTTCTATGGTAATTATGTTGGGTGCTTTGGATCCTCCCAATAAAGTTGACTTCCTAAAATAATTACACTTGAATTAGGTATAGAGAAGCTAATTGTAACAAATTGAAAGTTACTGTAAATCTTCTAATCGTAGTTCTCTGCAAGTGTACTTAAGTTATTGCTCCACTTGAAATAAATGAAAACTGGAAATCTGAGGTGATGAATTATGGGTCCCTTTTATGTAAGAAAGATGACAAGGAAATCTAATCTGCTGAGTTATACTAAAATAAAATACCTTGGCCTGGGATCAAATATAGGTGAAAGAATTAACATTTATGTTTTTTAATTAAGATAAAATGTACAAGTTTTATGTACATATTTTATGATTTCCTGATATAACAAAAAGTGTTGATAAAAGCACCCAATACTGATTCTAATGACATTTGATTAGCATTAAAGAGTTGCTATTATTATTGTTGTTGTTGTCGTCATTGTTATTTGGTGACTGGGTGAATATTAGACACCCAGTTGCCGAATGGGTGGTTGACATCCACCACCACTGGCAATGACCGAGCCAAGTAGATACCAACATTCAGGTGGGTGTGTATATTTTTACCTTTTTTGAATGAACCCCTCCACTATTCTTGGCAGCAAAAAACATCAGAGAGATTAATCTATACTAATCATTGTGTAACCCATAGATTAGCAACATCAGCATCACCTGGAAGTTTATTAGAAATTCATCATGTCAGGTTTAAGCCAAAACTTACTGATCAGAATCTGCATTTTAAAAGACCCCAGGTGATTTGTTTTCAATTAAAGTTTGAAAAGCACTAGTCTAGAGTTTTCCTAGTGAACTCATTAATAAATAACAGTTAGCATTCCAGGTATCGAGTGACACTTTTGAAAAGATTTGAAGGCATGATTGGGATAATGAATCTATGAGAACATAATTAATGCACATTGTATAAATTGTATGAAACGATGGTGGAGGTGCTTCTAAGGATAAACATTAATTCCAAAGTAGAAGATGATTTACTGAGCTTTTCTTTGGATTTAATATATATCATACCTTGAAGATCCTAATTGAAAGGAAGTATTGGTAAGTATATTAAATTACTGGTAATTTTCCTGCTTTGGAGAATTGAATATACAACATGGTTGCAAACTAATATGCATATTTATTTGTTAAGATGATACAAGAACAATTACAATATTTATTTGTGAGAACAGAAACATTAATATTTAAAGCCATTGTTTGCCTCTGTCTCCTGCTGGTAACTGTTTTCCTTAAAAGCACTACAAAAGGCATTTTGAACAGATGGTGGCTGGTATTCTGTATCCTGCATCCCCTTACAACTGCCACGGAGCCTCACCATTCATTAATCTTCCATAGACTTCCAGTAGCACAGCAACTAAATTACACACATACACACACTGAGGCCAGCATTTCTGTCAGGCTGAAAATTAAACTGAAGAGCACTGTGCCAAGTCTTTTAACCAAACTTCACTATAAAACAGTTAGAAAAACAAACATTGAAGGCTGACCCATGAATATCCAATCTTAAATAAAAAATGTTGGCTCGTCATTATGTCTTAGACGTTCTCTACAGAGTGTATCAGAAATCTTCAAGTGAAATGAGACTCTCTAAACATCTGGTTTGAATTCACCTTGACTCATAACTGTTTTAAAAGAGAGCTGTTTCCTTGATCTTTGAAATAGGAAAAGAACAAAAATATTACAAACAACAGTGCTTTTACTAAAATTGTTATCACCTGCTGTTTAGAAGCAAGTAGAATACTAATACACATTCTCTATTGGAACATATCTTCCAAACTACATATTTTCTAAAAAGTAAAATGAGTTTATCTAATATTCAAATCTTTATTTTTTAAATATATACACTGCACTTTCCTTATAAGGTTAAATAATGTACACTTTCCAGACTCCCTATTCTTTAAACTTTTTATTTTGATATTATTTCAAAATTAGGGAAAAGTTATACAAATTGTACAAAGAGCTTCTGCCCTCTTTAGCCAGCTGCACCTAATTGCTTAGATTTTACCACAATTGCTTTGTTACTATCATTACTAGTACTAGTTCTCTATGTATTTTAATATTATTTAAATAAATTGGAAACATGGTGTCTTCCAGCCAGAAAGTCTTTTGTATATTTCCTATGACCAAGAACATTCCCTTAGATGACCAGAGTACAATTTTCAAAATTGGGAAATATAACATTAATACCATACTATAATCTGCACTCTGTTTTCAAATCTAATTCATCAGTTGTCCAAATAATGTCCTTTAGAGCTATTCTTTTCTCCTGATTTAGCCACTGATCTAGTATCTCACATTGCATTTAGCTGTCTGGTCTCTGGTTTCATTCAGTCTGGAACGGTTCCTCAGTTGTACTTCTACTTTCATGACCCTGACACTTTCAAAGACTGCAGGCAGTTATTTAGTAGAATCTCTCTCAATTTGAATTGTGTAATATTTCCTTATAACTGGATTCAGGTTATGAATATGGGGTCAGGAATATCACATAAATGACAAAGTGTCTTTTTCAGTGTATCACATCCAGAGGCACATGACATTGATTTATCCTTTTGTTGGTGATGATAACTTCGATCACTTGGTTAAGATGGTGTCCACCAGTTTTTTTCACTGTAAAGTTATTATTTTTCCCTGTGATTAAACATAGGCACCATTTGAAACACATTTAAAATAGTGGAAAAATTGCTAACATATTTATAAAACACTAGCTCTCTATATTTATAATGCCTGGGGTCTAGGAGTTTTATTTTCACAAAAAGTATGCTTAATCCCATTAGAATATAAAAAAAATTGCTATATATGTCAACATATTTTAGATTGTGGGCTTTTTTAAAAAAGTCAAGTGGCTTACGCTAAAAAAATGCTTGAAATTAAATAAAGCTTTCTCTCATATCTTCTAATATATTTTGACCACTCCTACAAAAAAAAAGAGTACTTTTGAAATAAGGTAAGAAGATCAAGGGAAATCTTTAAACAAACATATTTGTATTATTGTCCTATTCTTAGAAGAATAAAGTTTAAAATTTTATTACAGAAACTGTATTGACTAAGTTAATTATTAGCTTCAGTTGCAAATTTGAACTTGTAATTTAGAGCCAAAGGTATTTTTTTAATTTAGTGGAGAATTAACATAAAGGATAATCTTTCTGTTCTTCGTAATGATGGAGAATTCTGCAATGGGACTTCAAAAGCTCAAGCTATATTATATACAGAAATTCTTCCATCTTTTTACATACTTTGTTCAAATTAACTACAGATCTGTTAGAAAATCATATTAAATAGTTGTCTCACTGGGTTTATGACTTTAAAAATTCAAAACACTATATTCATATGAATATAAGTATAATTACTCTATGACAGTATTTAATGGTTCTTCATAGAAAAGAGTGGGAAAATTAATACTTTTCAAGGTCTACTTTGTATCAGGCTTTGTGTTAAAGGCATTTTATGATGGTACGAATATTTTTTATTCATACCATCATTACCAAATAAAGATGGTAAATACCATCTTTATTTACCATTAGTAAATAAAGAATCCATTTGAAGCTAAAGCAATGGTAGTATTAGCTTGCACCTAACCTATATTTATAATTTGATTTTACTCTGTAGGGCTATGTTTTAGAGAACTACTGAGGTAAGCTCAAAAGAGAACTACTAAAATGAGGAACTGGAGAGGTTGTTTTTGAGAAAAAAATAATCTTGAATTAGAGTGAAAATGGTTGTTAGTACAGTACAATACCAGTCCAGATATTGGATGGATTGATGGCTACGTCTTAGGTAAGAATGCTCAGAAAAGGATAGGTGAAAACTGAAAGACCCATTACACACCAAAAACCTTTGAGACATTGAGAATATAAATACCTGAACAGAACTTAAATTAGCAAAATGTGGAAATGAAAGCCTTTGCATACTTTTGAGCATACTTGTCTCACTCTGTCACCCAAGCTGGAGTGCAGTGACTCAATCTCAGCTCACTGAAGCCTCCATCTCCCAGATTAAAGCAATCCTTGTGCCTCAGCATCCCAAGAATCTGGGATTACAGGCGCGTTCCACAACCCCTGGCTTTTTTTTTTTTTCAGTAGAGATGGCGTTTTGCCATGTTGGCCAGGCTGGTCTCTAACTCCTGGTCTCAAGTGATCCACCTACCTTGGCCTCCCAAAATGCTGAGGTTACCAGTGTAAGCCACTTTGTCCAGCCTAATTTCTCTGTCTTCAGCCAATGAACACATGTTCAGCAGCTATACAACACGATATTTCAGAGAACTACTCAGAGACTTAGTTTCCTATTGCTGCTGTAACAAATTACCACAAACTTAGTGACTCAAACCAATGAAAATGTATTGTCTTATAGCTCTTGAGGCCCTAAGTATGAAAAGGGACTTATGGGGCTAAAATCAGTGGTTGGTAGGGTTGTGCTCCTTTATGGACACGCTACAGAATAATTTGTTCTGCTGTCTTTTCCAGCTTCTAGAAGACCCCTGCATTCCTTGGCTAGTGGTGTCCTTCCATCTTCAAATTTAGCAATAACCATTTTCACACTCCATCACTCTGACATGTTTCTGCTCTCTTTTCCACTTTTCGGGACAATGTTTACATTGGAGCCCCTCAGATAATCTAAAATAATCTTCCTACACTAAGGCTTGGTGACCAACGACCTTCATTCCATCTGCTATCTTAATTTCCTTTACCTCGAAACCTGACCTATTAACGGGTTCTGGGGATTAGTCCATTGGGACATCGCTCTGACTACCACACATATGTTGCTTAGTTGGCATAGAGAGAGTTTTGATTTGCTAAGAGTTGTAGACAGAAAGTTTCGTTCTGCCATTTAAAATACCAAATTATCTCTACTCTTATTAACTTTTAATTATTTCCTTAACTTATACTATAAAATATTATATTGTCTGTAGCGTTCCTTTCAGATATTCCAACAGAATATTTTCTTTGGGATGGCAAAGGCTACTTATTTACGGCAGCAGAAAATATCAGTTTAATCTTCTTAATCTTAATAATAATACATCAATGAATTCAAATTAAGATGCAGATTAATCGGTGAAGTGCAAAACATATCAATTTTTTAAAAACTGGCAAGTTCTAAAATATTTATAATACAGACATCAGTTTCAATATCTTATCCCTTAATGCCTACACAAAATTAAATAAAATATTTACTCCAAATATTGTGGTCATTCCACAGCTATTCTGATATTCATTCAAATTCTTAGAAGTTGGGAGATGGAGGACGAGAGGTTACCTATGATGTTTTGGTCACTGTGGCTCTTGCCTCAACCTTCTGAGGGATTGAAATTTGGAAATTATTTCCTCATTCTGCTATTTTTTATTATTTGTGTATATGCTCATGTGCACACATAAACGAAAGTATACACATACACATATGTGTATATATGTATGTATATGTACACAAGATTCAATAAATATACATATATGTATGTAGATATATACACATGTGTGTGTATATGTATGTAGATACATACACACACATACATGCTTTACTGAAACTTGGAAATTGGAAAGGGAAGAATAATGTATACACAGTCTCTCAGATGTATACGTATATACACATATATGTATGTGTGTATATGTATGTACATGTGTATGTATACATACACATATATACACACATATGTAGGTATGTATGTATATACGTGTGTGTGTATATACACACACACACAAACACACACATACACTCTTTACTGAAAACTGGAAATTGGGAAAGAAAGAATAACTAATGCATACACGATAATCCTTCAGAGCTCTTGGCTTATAGCATATGATCAATAACTACTTTTATAATGTATTACAAGTTTAAAAGACCATTAACTTGATTAATAAATTGATTTTTACTTCAGTCAGAAGGTGGTGTATTAAAATTTAGTCCTTTGAAGCAAGATACACCTGGGTTTAAATCCTAGCTTCACCTTTTTAAGGCCTCATCATGTCTCTGACTCTGCCCACTCCACTGGGTCCAGCTCCCCATCAGGAAACTCAAGCTGGGCTCAAATGACATTTTTCAGTGGGTGGACACGGGAGCTCGCATGGGAGAATCAGTAAACCACTGGAGGGCCGGGCGTGGCGGTTCACACCTGTAATCTCAGCACTTTGAGAGGCCAAGGCGTGCGGATCACCAGAGGTCAGGAGTTCGAGACCAGCCTGGCCAACATTGTGAAACCCTGTGTCTACTAAAAATATAAAAATTAGTCAGGCGTGGCGGAGTGCTTATAGTCCAAGCAACTCAGAAGCTGAGGCAGGAAAATCACTTGAGCCCAGGAGGCGGAGGTTGCACTGAGCCGAGATTGCAACACTTCACTCCAGCTTGGGCGACGGAGTGAGCTCCGTCTCAAAAAAGAAGGAAAGAAAGAAAAACCGGCCGGGCGTGGTGACTCACGTCTGTAATCCCAGCGCTTTGGGAGGCCGAGACAGGTGGATCACCTCAGGTCAGGAGTTCGAGACCAATTTGGCCAACGTGGCGAAACCCCGTCTCTACTAAAAACACAAAAAAATTAGTCGGGCATGGCGGTGGGCGCCTGTAGTCCCAGCTACGCGGGAGTCTGAGGCAGGAGAATCGCTTGAATCCGGGAGGCGGAGGTTGCAGTGAGCCGAGATCGCGCCACTGCACTCTAGCCTGGGAGACAGAGCGAGACTCCATCTCAAAATAAATAAATAAATAAATAAATAAATAAATAAATAAATAATAAATAAATAAATAAATAAATAAATACAATAATAATAAAAGCCACTGAGGCTCCATTCCTGCAGGGTCTGACTGATTAATCTTTCCTCATCTGTAAAATGGGAATACCTAATTTGTAGGGGTTTTCTGAGGAATAAGTTAAATAACACATGGAAAGTGACTAACAAATATGTATTTTGTCCTCTAAAGTCTCCTTCTTCTTTGTCGAAAGTTTGTTGGTACTGTTTTTTGTTGTTTATCCCAAATGACACCATTACAATGTTCTTATTGTTGCCAGCCAATCAAATCTGACCTCAATGTTTTGTATCTCACCCTTAAGAAAAATTCTAGAAGTTGTCAAATCATTTTAATACAAGTGTACTATATAAAGAGAATATTTGTAGGTAGTATGAATCATGTCTAAAATCAAACAAATTATTAGACCTGGAAGTTAAAGAGCCTGTAAATTGGTAACACTATTGTTATTGCTTGGATGTTTCTTGATATACACCTGCTATAAAACTCTTGATTTTGCCTGTCTTGCCAACCTAACAGTTTGTGCCTACCTGCTTAATAAAATTTCAGGGTTCTCACAGACAGGCTGGGTACAGATGGCTCAAAAGGATTCCTATGACAAATAGGCCTTTGAGATCCACAAACAAGACAATATACTTCTTAAAATTACAAGACTCCTTTGGTTATCTTACTCAGTAAATTACCTAAAATTTTTTAAAGGCATTTGAATATGCCTCATAAGAAAACAGAACTTTCAACAAAATATTTACCACAACAGAGCTGGACTTTACTGTGAAAAAAATAAACTTGTATAAAATAATAGTAATCTTTTATTTTAAATGGTCTCTCTTGTTATTATCACAAGCCTGTTTAGGTCAATGACCTATTTAGCGTAAATGATCACGTGTGTGTGTGTGTGTGTGTGTGTGTGTGTAAAAAGAAACACTTGAATTGGTTCTTTCATGTTTTGAACAACTAAAGAAAGAGTATAATTTTTAAAACAAGTCAATTTGAATATGATTTTTGGAATGTAATTTCTACTTCATAAAATTAACTAATAAAATGTAGCACTTTAATGTGTAGACAATTCAAAATCAAACAGAGAAAAGCAATGAAAATCATACTTAGTCCTATAATTTGAACAGTTATTGGCTTATTGTAGATCCAGAGTTACATAAACGAATATCTCAATGCTGTAGAAGAAATCTTGGAACAATGCAATTTAGACAGAAGAATTAAGAAAGATTAGCTTGAAGATATGATGGAAAGAATCAGTAAAGAGGGCAGCATGATTGGATCTGTTTTGTGCATTGCACATGCATTCCTGCTTTAGAAAGGGCTTAATGGTTCTCACACAGAAACTTATAGGTATTGCTTAAAAGAATCATAGACTGGGACCAGAAGATAAGTAATGTAAATAAAATGTTATCTTACATAAAGCATAGCAACATTACCATTTAAGGCAAAAGGATTATATGAAAAGAGACAGCAAGAAAATTTGCATGAATAAAATTCATGAAATTTATCCCTACGTTTTACTGCCAATTAGTTTCAGTAGTCAATTGGCAGTTAGAAAAAAAAATCATAGAAGTTTGAAGAAAACGAAAATCACATATTACAAAATTATACTGAAAGTAATGACACGATGCAGTTGACAAAAAAATTAAAAGCAAGAGGCCAATTGTAAACAAGACTAAAATCTGTTTAATTGTGGAAAAATGAAGAAAATTTAAAAGGCAGGTCAGGGATGCTCACCACACCAATAACACTCCAGGAGCCCAGTGATTATCACCATCAAGGTATTTTCAAACAGTGCACGGTAATGGAAAACATTGCAGGCAAGTCACAAACTGAGATCAAGCCTGTAAACAAATAGAAATATAACTTGAGGAAAATGTGTTAGAAAAAGATTTTAATTATTCAGAAATCTTTAGAGGTGTCTAATCAAACTTGGAAAAATTACAGTGTAAAGACATTTGCCAAACAACATGGAATAACGAGGAACTTCTTGCAGAACTTCTTGTCTAGAGCGTCAACGTTGATAAAAACAATTATACTGTAAGGAAATTTGTGTTGCAATGCATTTATTTATTAAGAATTGTTAAAATAGGACACTAGCTATGTATTCAGAATTCTGTATCTCCATTTTAAAATCTTTTTGCTTTTTGGTATAATTAAAATCTAATGGTATTAAACATTAAATATGACCACACAAAGTACGAAAGAAGGAGCTAAGGAATGTAAGAAATGGGTTGCAGGCATAGAATCATACAGTCTGGTCCTGGTGGAAGAAAGGAATGAACACTAGGAGAGAAAACATAACAACACAGTTCAAAATGTGTTTTGAAATAGAATAAATTTCTTGGCGGAAACTACTATGAGAAAATATGACTTCCCTTAAAACAGATTGCAAATTTAAGTGAAACCATCAAGATTAGGACAGGAAAGTAACATTGTCCAGTTTAAATTGCAAATATGGGTCTATATTAATGTATAATTTGGAATGCAAGTAAAGATAATTTAGACTTTATAAAAAGGTGTTTTGAGCTCAGAATGGAAATTACAAATCTCGTCTGTATCAGAGAGGAAAGAAGTCATTACTTTTCCCAAAAACCCTAGAAGAAAACCTAGGCCTTACCATTCAGGTCATAGGCATAGGCAAGGACTTCATGTCTAAAACACCAAAAGCAATGGCAACAAAAGCCAAAATTGATTGACAAATGGGATCTAATTAAACTAAAGAGCTTCTGCACAGCAAAAGAAACTACCGTCAGAGTGAACAGGCAACCTACAAAATGGGAGAAAATTTTCGCAACCTACTCATCTGACAAAGCGTTAATATCCAGAATCTACAATGAACTCAAACAAATTTACAAGAAAAAAAAAAACAACTCCATCAAAAAGTGGGCAAAGGACATGAACAGACACTTCTCAAAAGAAGATATTTATGCAGCCAAAAAAACACAAGAAAAAATGCTCACTATCACTGGCCATCAGAGAAATGCAAATCAAAACCACAATGAGATACCATCTCACACCAGTTAGAATGGCAATCATTAAAAAGTCAGGAAACAACAGGTGCTGGAGAGGATGTGGAGAAATAGGAACACTTTTACACTGTTGGTGGGACTGTAAACTAGTTCAACCATTGTGGAAGACAGTGTGGCGATTCCTCAGGGATCTAGAACTAGAAATACCATTTGACCCAGCCATTCCATTACTGGGTATATACCCAAAGGACTATAAATCATGCTGCAATAAAGACACATGCACATGTATGTTTATTGCGGCACTATTCACAATAGCAAAGACTTGGAACCAACCCAAATGTCCATCAATGATAGACTGGATTAAGAAAATGTGGCACATATACACCATGGAATACTATACAGCCATAAAAAATGATGAGTTCATGTCCTTTGTAGGGACATGGATGAAATTGGAAATCATCATTCTCAGTAAACTATCGCAAAGACAAAAAACCAAACACCGCATGTTCTCACTCATAGGTGGGAATTGAACAATGAGAACACATGGACACAGGAAGGGGAACATCACACTCTGGGGACTGTTGTGGGGTAGGGGGAGTGGGGAGAGATAGCATTAGGAGATATACCTAATGCTAGATGACGAGTTAATGGGTGCAGCACACCAGCATGGCACATGTATACATATGTAACTAACCTGCACATTGTGCACATGTACCCTAAAACTTAAAGTATAATAATAATAAAATAAAAAAAAGAAGTCATTACTTTTCCATCTAGTTTCTTCTCTCATTCCTGCAGATATTTTAAAATAAACTTGGACTCTACTTGAAACCTGAATGAGCCAAATACCCTGTAGAGGAGGGGCACATTCTGCATTCTAATGTTTATGCCCATTTGTTTCTTTCTCCTTATTTGTTTGTTTGCTGTCTCCTTGGTATACCACTGTCTACTGAATAGAAAAAAATAATTGAACTTAGTCCTCATGTTGTAAAAAGTCAGAACTTGAGGGAACTAGAAGGCAATAAAAGAAAGAATTTATCTAAAATTTAAAGAGTTAGTTTCTGTGCATGATAGGGAATCTGAGAGTAGTATCAAAAGATCATCCATTCATTCAGGCAATTTAATTCAAGCAATATTTCTGGAATTTCTATTAAGTGCTAGGCACTAATGTAGGCATGGGAAACATTTAGAACAGGCTAAACAGGAGCTCTGCTTTTATGAAGATTCCATTCCAAAGAGACAAACAAATGATACAAAGGAAATAAATAGGTAGGCAAAATATTTAGAATGGAAATACTTACTATGAGTAAAAGTGAAATAGCTTGAGTCAAAACAAAGTAGGGTAATGTAAAAAACTCCAACATACTAAAAATTGTTCACTCCAGCCTACAAAGGACCTTGGCTCTCATAACTGTCCCTCCTATCCTTCTTGATAACTGCCCAATGAATGGCTGCTGAGCCACAGAATAATCCCTCTGTCTTAGAGAAACATCTTTAGACAATTATTTCCCTAACTAGTGGGACTTCAGCTGACCACTCATAGTAAAACTCTGTAAGAATCCTTCCCTAATTCATCAAGCTGAAACATTCATTTGAAGTTGTTCTCATGCTACAGTATTCCAAAGGATTATGATTAACAGTATCACACAAAATTCAATGAATTAATATAGTTCTAAAACTATTTCAATAATTCAGTTGAAGTTAGAAAATGCGAAACAGAAGAAAAATCAGATGAGAAAACTGTACTAAAGTGATAGCTCTAAATCCAACTCTATAAGGATCTACATTTAATAGTATCAAATAAATACCCTAATTAAAGGCACAGATTACCAGATTACCAAAAAGGTGAAATAGGCAACAGCAAAGCAAATGGTTATAAGGGCCACTTTAAATAAAAAGTTGAAAATAGGTGTAAAAAATAAATATATACTTGTCAAATAGTAAATTTAAGAAGGATATAGTGACTACTTAAATATTAGCAAAAATCATATTTCAAGATAAAAATTCTTGCTAGAGATAAAAAGGAACATTATATAAAGTTTAAGCCTTAATTCATAAGGGAGAGCTAATAATTATAAATGTGTAAGCAGAGCCTAAAAATACATGAGGCAAAAACTCGTAGAATAAACAATTTCATCATTATAATAGGATATCTTAACAATTCTTTCTGGGAAACCAGTGGAAGAACTAGATAAAAAAATCAGGAAATACATAAATCATCTAAACCATACTCTTAAGCACTGTATGGAGCACTGCTCAATAAGTGCAGAATAATTATTTTCAAGTAAGTATGCATACATGGTTCATTCACCAAGTAAGCCATATAATGAATCTTAAAGCAAGTAATAATAAACTTAAAATTATTGGTATCATACAGAGTATATTCTCTGACTGCAATGGAGCTAAATTAGAAAACAATACAAATAAGGTATTTAAGAAGCTCCCACCCAAAAAAGTATGAAAATTTAACAACACACTTGTAAATAATTCATGAGTTAAGAAAAATAAGTAACAAGGAAAGCAGAAAATAATGAAAACTAAATTAAAATAAAATAAAAATGTAAAGATTTGATAGCTGCATCTAAATTTGTGCTCAGAGGAAAACCTTAGCTTGAAATGATAATATTGAAAAGGAAGAAAGGGCTGAACTTAGTAATCCAAGACATAATACCTTACATAGGTTTCTTAAAGTCCCAGAATCAAAATAAAGCCAAAGTAGACAGAACTAAAATATTTAATAGAAAAACTTAGTAGAATATAAAAAGATAAAAATCTAGAAAATGAACAAGGCCAAGAATTTGAATTTAGAAAAAATCAATAAATCCCTATCTGGAATTATCAAGGGAAAATATAACAGAAGGTAGTTATATCAGTATTTAAAGATGGGTTACTATTACAGATCCTGAAAACTTGAAAACAGCAATAACAGAATAATGTGAATAAATATAGACCAAAAAAATTCACAACTTTGATGAAATGTATAGTTTTTCTGAGAAATAAAATGTCCTAACTGACAAAGATGAAACATATTGTCTGAATATTTCAATATCAATTGAAGAAATTGAATTCATTATCTTTCTGTATTAAAAGAAAAATTTTCTAGGACTTTATGGTTTTACAGGGAAATTCTAGTAAATATTCATAGTAAAAAATTCAATCTTACAACTCTTTCACAAGAAAGAATGGGTGTTTACTATTTTTATATAAAGTTGACATGAACCTAAAAACAAAACCCAAAAAGACATTGCAAAAAATAGCATACAGACTAACTTCCTACATAAACATAGTTATATTTCTTAACAAAATATTATCAAATTGAATATAAAATATATAAAAATGATAATGCATCCTGATTAAATAGAATTTGTTCTAGGAATGTAACATGGGTGTAATAGTCACAAATCAAATAATATAACCTAACCATATTCACAGAATCAAATGAAAAAACAGATGTTCATTTTCAAAGATGCAATAAAGAAGTTGACAAAGTTCAGTAACAATTTTGATACAGACTTTCAGACAACAAGATTTTTTCTTTCTGATTAAGAGCACTTACGGAAAACCTGCAGTTACGCTACTTCATGGTAAAATATCCTACGCTTTCCTCCTAAAGTTGAAAACAATGCAAGAATGGCTATTTTTATTCAGTATTCCACTAGTAGTCTTAGCTGTAGCAAAATAGGCATGTAAAAGAAATAACTGACATAAGTAGCAGAAAAGAAGAAGTAAAATTGTTTCTTATCGACATGATAGCTTACCTATATAATCTTAAAGAACCTACAAGACAGCTATTAGAATAAACAAATTTGGCAAGTTTTCAAAATACAAGTTTACTATAAAAATAATTTGTATTTTATATGCTAGCAGAAAAAAATGAAAAATGAATTTTAAAATTCTGTCAAGTCTTGCCAAAAACATAAAATATTTCCAAATAAATTTTTACAAAGAAATGTGAGACATCTATTAGAAAACCTACAGAACCTTACTGAAATCATTTTTAAAAGACCTAAATAATAAAGAGAAAGAGAGACTATGTTACTGGATTGTTTAGGTGTTAATTCTTCCTAATTTAATCTACATTCAACAGATTCCTAATAAAAAGCCCAGAAGGCTTTTCTTGCGTAATTCACAAATAGTATCTAATTTTGTAATTGTCAAATTACAATTTTGTATTGCCAGCTCACAAGAGTGGAATAAAGTAAATCATTCCTGCTCTCTTAACTCAATTTTGCAAATGACCTAAAATAGATGAAACATTTGGAAAATTAAGAAAGTTACAGGACTAAAAGTATTTTATTTCAAGACAATAAAAAGCTAGAGTAATCAAGACAATGTGATTTTAGTAAGATACATACATGTTTTAACATAGGTCCCTATGCAATTCAAAAGGAAAAATCTTTACAACAAATGCTATTAGAACTACTGGATATTCATAGGAAATAAAATAAATATGAACCCTAGACCATAGTGAAACAGGATAGTTCCCTTGACCCCTGTGTGGGACTTGCAAAGGAGTTGGCTTGTTTACTTAGCACACTGCTCTCAACCCCTTGCAGGAGGGGGAACATGCAGGTGAATGGGTGCAGAGGCTGGGAAAAGCATATCTGGGCCATTTGCAGGAGCAGTACTCTGTGAGGGCCCACAGCAGTGTCTAGGGGTTGCTCACAATCCCTGGAGTCCCAGAAGGCATGTGTTAGAAAGTGCTCTTTTAGCTTTGCCATCTATGGACAACTTAAATATTAAACAGCTCAGTGGAGGGTCAGTGTGATAGCCTCTTGAACCCACACCTTGGTCCTTGTCCAGCATCCAGGAAGAATCAGGTCACTCGAATGAACTGAAGGGTGGCAAATGTGGAAAATTTTATTGAGTGGTGGAAATGGGTCTCAGTTGGATGGGGAACTGGAAAGGGGATAGAGTGGGAAGGTGGTCTTCCTCCAGAGTTTGGGCATCTCTGGCCAAACTCTTCTCTTAGGTCCCACTGTCAAGCGATCGCTCTAAAAGTCAAGCCGCTTCTCTCCAATGTCCGGCTGCTTCTTCTCTTTCCTTCTCTGACACTCTGTTGCTCCACCAGTGGGGCCTGGGGATTTTATGAGTACAAGATGGGGGATGGGTTGGGCCAGGTTGGTTTTGGAAAAGGCAACATCTGGGCAGGAAAACAGGATTACATGTTCTCACTTTGGGCCATGGGTCCAGGCTTAATGGTGTGACCCTCACCAGGACTGCCCTCTTTTACCCAATATTTCCCTGCCTCCTGTCCATGTTAATAGTACACATAGTTTAAGAAATTTATTATATATAAAAGCTAACAGTTTAAGAATACTGAAAAATCAAGAGAACATCTTTGCAACCTGAGATAAGCAAATACTTTAAAATAAATATTTGTCTTAAATGTCTATTTAAGCAAATATTTCTCTTAAAAATTAAAGTGCAGGAAGCACCACACATAAAAATTAATAGCTAGAAACTATTCAAAATTAAAGACTTTTTCTCTTCAAAAAATGTGATTAAAGAAATGAATGCCAGGTGCTGTGTCTCATGTCTGTAACCCCAGTATTTTGGAAAGCCAAGGCTGGTGGATTACCTGAGGTCAGGAGTTCAATACCACCCTGGCCAACATAGTGAAATCCCATCTCTACTAAAAATACAAAAATTAGCCATGCATGATGGTGCATGCCGATAGTCCCAGCTACTAGGGAGGCTGAGGCAGAAGAATTGCTTGAACCTGGGAGGTGGAGGTTGCAGTCAGCTGAGATTGCACCACTGTACTCCAGGCTGGGTGACAGAGTGAGACTTCATCTCAAAAAAAAAAAAAAAAAAAAGAAAGAAAGAAAAAAGAAATGAAAAGGTCAGCATAAAATGGTGGAAAACATTTACAATACAACACAAATCTATCTGACAAAAGATTTGTAT
This sequence comes from Homo sapiens, assembly GCF_000001405.40. Taxonomy (NCBI): domain Eukaryota; kingdom Metazoa; phylum Chordata; class Mammalia; order Primates; family Hominidae; genus Homo; species Homo sapiens. The sequence continues at coordinate 71,183,608 of NC_000013.11, forward strand.
CTAAAATATATAAAATCATCAAAACATTTCATTCAATTTGAAGAAATCAGCCAAGGGCAAAGGCTAATATATTTTCAGAGATATATTAGGACACACTTACTAAAATAGCTAAAACAAACATTTTGATAATTTTAAGTGTCAGTGAGAATACGAGGAAACTGAAACTTACAATCACTTTGAAACACTAGAAGCTTATTCAAATTATAATATTCACTTACCTGGCCATTCTACTTCTAGGTATTTACCCAGGAGGAATGATGAAAATGTATGCCCATGCATAGATTTGTTCATGAATGTTCATACCAGCTTAATTTTCAAAACTGAAAAACCAATGTCTACACACTAGTATGTCCATACAGTAGAATACTACTCTGCAAAAACAAACAAACAAAAAAAAAAAAAAACAAAAAAAACCCCAGAATGTTGTATGTCAGTGCACACAACAATATTTGTAAATCTCAAAATTCGTGTGTCTAGTGAAAGAAGAAAGACATAAAAGAATATGTATCATACTATAAGAGTGAATTAATATAAAATTCTATGGCGTTGGGGTGCAGTGGCTCACACCTGTAATCCCAACACTTTGGGAGGGCAAGGCAGATGGATCACTTGAGGTCAGCAGTTCGAGACCAGACTGGCCAACATGATGAAACCCAATCTCTATTAAAATTATGAAAATTAGGGTCATTCCAAGATGGCCAAATAGGACAGCTCCAGTCTGCAGCTCCCAGCGTGATCACTGCAGAAGACAGGTGATTTCTGCATTTCCAACTGAGGTACCTGGTTTATCTCACTGGGACTGGTTGGACAGTGGGTGCAGCCCATGGAGGGTGAGCTGAAGCAGGGTGGGGCATCGCCTCACCCAGGAAGCACAAGGGGTTGGGGGATTTCCCTTTCCTAGCCAAGGGAAGCTGTGACAGACTACCTGGAAAAATGGGACACTCCTGCCCAATTACTGTGCTTTTCCCAAGGTCTTAGCAACTGGCAGACAAGGAGGTTCTCTCCCATGCCTAGCTTGGCAGGTCCCATGCCCAAGGAGCCTAGCTCACTGCTAACACAGCAGTCTGAGATAGAACTGCGAGGCAGCAGCCTGGCTGGAGGAGGGGTGTCCACCATTGCTGAGGCTTGAGTAGGTAAACAAAGCGGGTGGTAAGCTCGAACTGGGCAGAGCCCACCTCAGCTCAACAAGGCCCGCTGCCTCTGGACTCCACGTCTGTGGGCAGGGCATAGCTGAACAAAAGGCAGCAGATAACTTCTGCAGACTTAAACGTCCCTGTCTGACAACTCTGAAGAGAGCAGTGGTTCTCCCAGCATGGCGTTTGATCTCTGAGAATGGACAGACTGCCTCCTCAAGTGGGTCCCTGACCCCCATGTAGCCTAACTGGGAGACACCTCCCAGTAGGGGCCAACAGACACCTAATATAGGAGGCTGCCCCTCTGGGACGAAGCTTCCATAGGAAGGATCAGGAAGCAATATTTGCTGTTCTGCAATATCTGCTGTTCTGCAGCCTCTGCTGGTGATTCTCAGGCAAACAGGGTCTGGAGTGGACCTCCAGCAAACTCCAACAGACCTGCAGCTGAGGGACCTGACTGTTAGAAGGAAAACTAACAAACAGAAAGGAATAGCATCAACATCAACAAAAAGGTCATCTACACCAAAACCCCATCTGTAGGTCACCAACATCAAAGACCAAAGGTAGATAAAACCACAAAGATGGGCACAAACCAGAGCAGAAAAGCTGAAAATTCTAAAAATCAGAGCACCTCTTCTCCTCCAAAGGATTGCAGCTCCTTGCCAGCAATGGAACAAAACTGGACGGATAATGACTTTGATGAGCTGACAGAAGTAGCCTTCAGAAGGTCGGTAATAATAAATCATTAACAGACAAACAGAGAGCCAAATTGTGAGTGAACGCCCATTCACAATTGCTACAAAGAGAATAAAATACCTAGGAATCCAACTTACAAGGGATGTGAAGGACCTCTTCAAGGAGAACTACAAATCATTGCTCAACAAAATAAAAGAGGACACAAACAAATGGAAGAATATTCCATGCTCATGGATAGGAAGAATCAATATGATGAAAATGGCCATGCTGCCCAAAGTAATTTATAGATTCATTGCCATACCCATCAAGCTACCAATGACTTTCTTCGCAGAATTGGAAAAAACTACTTTAAAGTTCATATGGATCCAAAAAAGAGCCTGCATTGCCAAGATAATCCTAAGAACAAAGCTGGAGGCATTACACTACCTGACTTCAAACTATACTACAAGTCTACAGTAACCAAAACAGCATGGTACTGGTACCAAAACAGAGATATAGACCAACGGAACAGAACAAAGGCCTCAGAAATAACACCACACATCTATAACCATCTGATCTTTGACAAACCTGACAAAACAAGAAATGGGGAAAGGATTCCCTATTTAATAAATGGTGCTGGGAAAACTGGCTAGCCATATGTAGAAAGCTGAAACTGGATCCCTTCCTTACACCTTATACAAAAATTAATTCAAGATGAATTAAAGACTTAAATGTTAGGTCTAAAACCGTAAAAACCCTAGAAGAAAACCTATGCAATACCATTCACAACATAAGCATGGACAAGGACTTCATGACTAAAACACCAAAAGCAATGGCAACAAAAACCAAAATTGACAAATGGGATCTAATTAAACTAAAGAGCTTCTGCACAGCAAAAGAAACTACCATCAGAGTGAACAGGCAACCTGCAGAATGGGAGAACATTTTTGCAATCTACCCATCTGACAAAGGGCTAATATCCAGAATTTACAAAGAACTCAGACAAATTTACAAGAAAAAAAAACAAACAACCCCATCAAAAAATGTGCAAAGGCTATGAACAGACACTTCTCAAAAGAAGACATCTATGCAGCCAGCAGACACATGAAAAAATGCTCATGATCACTGGTCATCAGAGAAATGCAAATCAAAATCACAATGAGATACCATCTCACGCCAGTTAGAATGGCAATCATTAAAACGTCAGGGAACAACAGATGGTGGAGAGGATGTGGAGAAATAGGAACGCTTTTACACTGTTGGTGGGAGTGTAAATTGGTTCAACCATTGTAGAAGACAGTGTGGCCATTCCTTAAGGATCTAGAACTAGAATTACCATTTGACCTAGCAATCCCATTACTGGGTATATACCCAAAGGATTATAAATCATGCTACTATAAAGACACATGCACATATATGTTTATTGAGACACTATTCAGAATAACAAAGACTTGGAACCAACCCAAATGTTCATCAATGATAGACTGGATTAAGAAAATGTGGCACATATACACCATGGAATACTATGCAGCCATAAAAAGGATGAGTTCATGTCCTTTGCAGGGACATGGATGAAGCTGGAAATCATCATTCTCAGCAAACTATCACAGGGACAGAAAACCAAACACTGCATGTTCTCACTATAGGTGGGAATTGAACAATGAAATCACCTGGACACAGGGCGGGGAACATCACACACTGGGGCCTGTTGGGGGGTCGGGGGATGGGAGAGGGGATAGCATTAGGAGACATATCTAATGTAAATGATAAGTTGTTGAGTGCAGCAAACCAACATGGCACATGTGTACCTATGTATCAAACCTGCACGTTGTGCACATGTACCCTAGAACTTAAAGTATAATTTAAAAAATAAATAAACAAATAAATAAAAGGAATATATTATATTATATATATAAGCTGGGTGTGATGATGCCTCCCTGTAATCCCAGCTACTCAGGAGGCTGAGGCAGGAGAATCATTTGAACCTAGGAGGCGAATATTGCAGTGAGCCGAGATGGTGCCACTGCACTCCAGCCTGGGAGACAGAGAGAAACTCTGGTTCCAAAAAATAAATAAATAAATAATAAATAAATAAATTTCTACAAAAAAGCAAAGTAATCTATAGTGATGAAGAGCTGACTAGTAGTTTATTCTTGCCAGGAGAGCAGAGATGCATGAACTGCAGACAAGCACAAGGAGACATTTGAGGGTAAGAGAAATGTTTTGTGTTTTGATTGTGGCTGTGGTTTCATAGTTGTATGAATCTATATTCATAAAATTGATAACTTTAAATGGAGTCATTTTTTGTATGCAAATTTTACTAAAATAAAATTAATAAAAAATATGAGTTAGACAAATAGTGAAGTGATATGTCACTTGCACTAGGGAAGTGGATGTATGAAAGTAATGGCAAAAATCACAATTACTTTTGCACCTAGATAATATAATATGTTTAGAAATGTACAGCTATAAGAGAGAGTCAGCTTTGATAACTGTTCTATTGTATGGAGAACCTGTGCCAGCTCACACTAGTAGAAGTGAAGTAAATCCTTTTCAACCTTCTCACCTTTTTATTTTTCTACTCCTTACCTGATGAGTCAGAAGCTCACCTATTCACTTGGTGCAAATGGAGAAGGCCTGGCAGGTACTACAAAGAAGTTGGTAGTACCAGTTTTTCCCTATGCCTGCTTTTTGAAAGAATTGGGCAAAAGGTTTAACATTAAATGGGATTTGAATGTATTTTCTTACTACATTGAGTTGAAAATACTGATTTTTGATCTACAACTATTTTTACATCTAAAATTGAAGAAAGACTTTTGCAATATCCTGTAATGTCCAGAAATGTCACAGGGACTGTCTAGTTCATTTTGAGCCAAGGAGGAATTTGTAGGGATTTGGATGGGCTGTAAAGAAAATGAATGTATTTGCTATTGATTCTCTTGAAATAGTTCTGTTTGTTTACTATTACTGTGACTAAACAGTTGTAAAAAACCAACAGAATGATAATAGGCTACTAGCTTTCAAAGATCTTTTGCAGATTATATAAATAAAACCCTCTCCCCAGTTAGCTAAAAAACAAAGCAGGAAATATATAATGAAGCAAAATCATGATAACTTTCACACTGTACCCGCTAAGCAATGACTTACTGATGCAATTTCAGTACGTGTACAACTGTCAAACAAAATTTTTAGCAAAGACAATGAACTATAAAGTAGAGGATGAAGAAATTACAGATGAGAAAAGATGTGAAAAATCAAAGAGAGTATTTAGAGAGCAAGAGGCTTAGACTGTATTTGATTAATATAGGTGAATTTACCCTCTTTGTCCCCTCAACCTCCAATTTGCATATTTCTCTATTTCTATGCTATCCCAGGTCTAAGAGCAAAATGCAGCACTGATAGACATGAGAAAGTAAAATATTCTAGTTCCATTCTAGCCTGGGTCTCGAACTAATTGAGGGATCTTGAAGAAATTGTTGAAGTTCAGTTTCTTTGGACCGTCTTTTGGACCAGGAAAACAATTCCACATTGATAGCCATATACACTAAGAACTATAGTCTAAATTTTAAGGAATCTGCACAATGGAATAGAGATACATGGCGAAGCTCTCTAGATGGGACCCCAGAAAACTGGTAGGAATAGGAAGTAGATATGTATCATTCAAATCCTACCATCAAGAATTAAAATCTGAGAACTTTTTGAATTAAGCTCTAAAGTAAGCTTGCTAATTAAGGGTCTCCAAGGCTATGTATTGTTTTGTTTTGTCAGACAGTTTTAGCAATTTGAATTGGAATGTCTATAGCTGGGGCACGTGCTGTCTAGTTAACCAGTTTCTACAACTTCCTTTTATCTTATTCCAAGCTGTTTCAGGTATTTTACGTATATGTCTACTGTCCGGAAGTCTGAAGCTTGAGACACTCGTCAACGTAAACTGTATGTACAAAGACTGGCACTCTCTTGCTTGCCACTATACTTTAAGCATAATTCTAAGAATACAAGAAGCAGTCAACTCCTTCTTGGGAAGGTGACATTTTAAAAAATGGACTAGCTGCAGTTTAAAAAACACCCTGAAGCTACAGCTTCCATTGGAATTTGAGAGCTTCTCTAAATTTTACACCTGATAGCTTCTTCCAATTTTGTCTGCCTTATTTAGTTTAAGGAATTATTTCTGGCCTAGCACAGTGGCTCACGCCTGTAATCCCAGCATTTTGGGAGCCAAAGGCGGGCTGATCACTTGAGGTCAGGAGTTTGAGACCAGCTTGGCCAACATAGCAAAACCTTATATCTACTAAAAATACAAAAATTAGCTGGGCGTGGTGTTGTGTACCTGTAGTCCCAGCTACTGAGGAGGCTGAGGCAGAAGGATTGCTTAAACCCAAAGGTTTCAGTGGGCTGAGATCATGCTGTGGCACTCCAGCCTGGGCAACAGAGCAAGCTTCTGTCTCAAAAAAAAACAAAAAAAAAAGAAAAGAAAAAAAAAACAGAATTATTTCTGTAAATACTGTCAGCTTAATGATGGGCTTATGACCTTGGGAACAGTAAAGCTAAGTAGATACCACATCTTTTTTCCCCCATCACTGCAGTGGTTATGAGACTGTTTTAGGTTTGTAATAAAGAATGAGACTCTTTTTTTTTTTTTTTTTTTTTGAGATGGAGTCTCGCTCTATCACCCAGGCTGGAGTGCAGTGGCGGGATCTCGGCTCACTGCAAGCTCTGCCTCCTGGGTTCACGCCATTCTCCTGCCTCAGCCTCCCGAGTAGCTGGGACGACCGGCTCCCGCCACCACGCCCGGCGAATTTTCTGTATTTTTAGTAGAGACGGGATTTCACCATGTTAGCCTGGATGGTCTCGATCTCCTGACCTTGTGATCCGCCCGCCTTGGCCTCCCAATGTGCTGGGATTACAGGCGTGAGCCACCGCACCCGGCCCCGAGACTCTATTTTTATATTTGACTGCTCACAGCTTTCAGGCACCAGTGCTCCTTCGTCCACTTCTTTCCCACATTGGACAAGCTGTGAAAGTCCAGTGCTCACACTCCTTTGGCACCAGCAAGAAACTCGGACCATGCAAGCCATAGCCCTTGTAAGGAAACCATCACCTCAATCCCAACCCCAATCATAATAAAACCCCAACCCAGTTACCTTGTTTTTGTTCCCTCAAGCATGTTTTTTTTTTTTTTTTTTGCCTGCTTGAAGTCCACCTTTCTTTCACCAGAAACCTCCTCTTGGCTTGTGTGGATATATGTGTGGCATCATCATTGGTTTTACATCTAAACCAATGTTTGGGTAGAGAGTCCGTCACCCTTGTTCAGGGTGACTATAACAATTGGCACAGTGAGCAACATGTCTTGGGAGACCCACTATCAGTGGAGTCCTATTGTCTTGCTTTGGTCTGTTCACTGACTCTGTTGCTGCTCTCCCGTATGCACCTTAAGCTGCTGCCTATTGACTAGCTTGAGGATTGAAGCTCATTATAAAATATGTATTTAAGGAAAGGGTGATTATTCCCATTGTTTCTCTGTTTGACATTCCAAGTGGGCCTGTTTTTAAAACTGGAGAGAACAAATAGCGACTCACCCTGGATTATCCCAACTTTAATGCCATAGAATAGTCAATTAAGATCCCATATCCAATATTATTAAAATCACTGACTTTATCCAATAAGCAACTGAAAAGTAGTTTACAAGTATAGATTTGGCTAGTATGTTCTGTTCAAGACCAATTTGAACAGCCTCTCAGTCACAGCCTGACTTCACCTTTGAAGAAACATGATATACATTTTCCCAGCTACCCTTTTGGATTCCTCAAAAGCTCTGCCATTGCACAAAATGGCAGGCAAGATTTGGCAGGCAAGATTATGCAGGCAAGATTTTGCAGACAAGATCTTAGCCACATCTAACTTTTTTCAAGGGTACAATTCTGAGATCACACTGATGATGAGATGAGAGAGTTCCCTGACCCCGTCGTGGGACTTGTGACAGGGGTGTGACTTGTTTGCTCAGCTGCTGTATGCTTAAACCTCTTAAGGATGGGGAGCATGTAGATGGGCAGATGCAGAAGCTGGGGCAAGTACTTTTGGGCTCCAGCCCCATGGTAACATGTAGAGGTGTGTTACAATTAATGCTATTAGCAGCTGCCGTCCTCAGACAGCTAAGTGTTAAACTAGCTAGTGGAGAGTCAGGATGACAGCCTTTTACACACTGCCTTCTTGGTACCTGAGTCATTGTCTGGTGGCCAGGTAGAATCAGGTCACACAGACTTGAAGGTTGGCAAATTTGGTGATTTTATTAAGTGATGGAGGTGGCTTTTGGTGGGATGGATAGGCAACTGGAAAGGGGATGGAGTGGGAAGATGGTCTTCCTCAGGAGTTTGGCTGTCCCACTTCCAATCTCCTCTCCAACCATCTCCAGTCAAACTCCTCTCAACGTTCAGATGCTCCTTCTCTTGTCTCCTTCTCTGCCTCACCACTCTTCTGCTCGTGGAGACTGAGGTTTGGGGTTTATACAGGTACAGGATAGGGGAGTGGCATGCCAGAGGGGTCTTGGAAAAGGCAAAATTTGGGCATGATAACAGGAATACCTGCTCCCATTTAGGGCCATGAGTTTCCAGGCCTGAAAGTGGGGACTTTGCCAGGGAAATACCCTGTCCTACCCAGTATTTCCCTGCCTCATGTCAATATCAATAACATTCTCATCCAAGGAAATTCATTTTAAACTTACACAGTAGCTCAAAAAAATGGGATGGGATATTACCTTCCACATAGTACAAGACCCTTTTACCTTAATTAAATTTGTGAAATTTACTTGGTAAGCTAAGAGCTTGCACTATTGATCCTTTCATCATCCACCATATTATTACTAGAGTGGCAAACCTTTTCAGACTCTCTTGGTGGCTATTTGATATCACCAATCCTAAGAGCAAAACCAAATTTTGAGCTGGGGATGAGAGGATGACCGCAACAAGGACACTACTTCTGGAGGCCCTATCAAGATTTGCAAAATAACCTTAAAGCTTTCTTTCAGTTGTAATAGTCAATACTTCTAAATATCATGATTTCCAATAGAAGTGCCCTGTACATCTACGGCATCTTCCCTCCTATTTTCTTTTTCTCTCTCCTTCCTCCTTTGGTGTTTTCATATCGTTGATTATTTCATTCACCCTGAATAGATTAGAAACCAACATGTGCAACAATCTCCTTACCAGTATTTGCTTCGTTGTAATCTTTATATAAGTTGAAATGTTCTATAAATGCCATGCATATACTTTGACCTTAGATGAAGTTTGCAATTTTATTATCACATTTGATTGCTTGCATTAATTCCTGATCTGAAATTGTTTTTAAAACTAAAATTAAAGAGAGGAATCTATGTTATCTGAGTAATCAAAAATGTCATTATATCTATTTCTACCATAAGGATTGAATTTTAAAATCTCATTCTTCTTTTCAAAAGGGGAAAAAATGCACAGTAATTTAACAGGTGAGTCTACTGTGTTGTGTATGGTAGCTGTGATTTTAAGAATAGGATAAGTTGTCAACATTATCAAACTAGTAATGCAAGAAGAGGAGCGTTATTAGCTTTTTAATCTTTTGACTAAGATAAAATCAACATATTCTTTCTGTCTTTGTAGGCATAAACAAGTTAATTATATAGCCACCAATTCTAAGTGGGTCACTTATTACTTAGTTTATATGAAACATTTCAGATAAATAACTTCAGACTTACAGCATAACACAAAAACACTATATATATCTAAACCTGGATTCAGCACAAAATTCTAAAGCTAAGCAATCAAGATTTTTAAAGTAATTTTTAATGAAAAATTTTCTAAATTATGTTTATGCCATCTCAAAGACATAAATTATCAAAATTTTCAGTATTCCAAATCAACAGGTGATTCAGTGTCACTATTTGTCATTTCCTGGTGTCTCTAAATCTGGGTCTTGCTGTAATGATTACTATAGTCATAAAACCTATTGCACTGGGTTTTGGGCTTTTCATCAGTGAAACAGTTTAGCTCAAATTGGAATTTCAGGCTATACCCTGAAGAGAAAAGATCTTCTGTTAAGTTATAGAACTGACAAAGCAATTCTTTTAAAACAAAACATTTTTGAGGTGTGATTAACATCAAAAGGCTGTACATATCTAATGTATACAATTTGATGAGTTTAAAAATAAGTATGAAAGTGGAAAAAAGGCTTATTTAGAGGTGATCAAATAATTTTTTTGAAATAGGCATTCTTGTTCTGGAAGCTAGCCTTGAAAGATGACCCTGCAGTCCTACTACAATGAGCAGTGCCGCACAATACGCATACCCTGGAATCTGGGTTGGCCTTGTTACTCCCTTTTGATAGAATGCAGAAGTGATAGAGTATGACACATGACTTTCAATTTTAAGTCATAAGATGACTTGCAGCTTCTGACAAAATCTCTTGAAATGCTTGTTCCAGGAAAAGTTAGCTACCATGCTGTGAGAGAGCTCAAGATAGCCATGTCAGTGGCCCATGTGAAGACAGAAAAGGAGGAGAGACAAACAGAGGGAAAGACAGAGTGAGAGAAAGAGAGAGTTAGCCTCTACATATTATAAGCACCTAAAACTGTTCATCATTACATGAGTAAAGTGTGAATAATTTAAGCTACAAGCCCAGTTGAATATCCAGATGACTCCAACTCCTATCACCTCTAATTGAACTGTATAAAGAGCTCCCAATTGGCCACCTGTGCTGTTCAAATCATATAACTGGGAAAGCTAATCTTAAATTGTTTTAGCGTTGTGTTTTGTTTTGGGCAATGGGGGTGTGTATGTAGCAATTGATAACTGAGATAGGATTTCTTACCAGGGATATGAAGTATGTCCATTACAAAAACCTCATATACATGGCACTGTCTTTGGGATGAAATGGTGATCTTCAAACCATAAAATACCAACAAGAGATTAGTTAAAGGCTAAAGGACAGAGAGAAAATTGTTATTAGAGGCTGAATAAAAACAGACATATGTTAAATGGTGACAAAAAAGTTTGGCAAAACTCTGGAAAATAGAAATAAGCCTAATTTACTAGTGAAGTTGGCTAAAGAGATTGCCACTCGGAGTGTTTAATGTGCCAATGCATTTATTTTAGCTGTATTTAATAAAGCATGTCCGGAGAGACATGAACTAAAGAAGGAGCTGTTCGGTTTCAAGCCAGATATAGAGAAAATATTTCAGAAACAGAACCTACTGGATTCAAAATGAACTGCCCTATAATTGCATATTTCTCACCCCTAGAAAAACTCTCAGATAAGAAATAACTTCAGCCAGCAAGACTCTTTGTTAATACATCAAAATATTTATGGCAGTGCATAGCCAATCTGTTCAGTGAGACTAAAAGATTTCTAAGAATTATAAGGGCATTGCCCAACAGCACTCTGATTCTCAACCCAAGGCAGAGAGAGCCCTGTCTCAAAACAGATTTCTGAGTGTGGCTTCTGTCCACGCATGTGAATTAACATGTAACACAAAAGAGAAGAAAGAAATGTTAAGGAAATTATACCAGCTTGGTCTGTAAGTGACAAAGATAGCTCAAAATGAAAGGAGGGCATTTAGGTTCCAGAACTTCTACAACAATAAAATAGAATAAGAAAGCTATTCAGCATCAAATATGGTCACTTTTTTTATGGAAAAGAAAGAATGAATCAGAAGGTAGAGGCAAGAGGCACAGAGAACCAAAGATCCAGCAGTAGGAACTTGATAGGATTTGAGAACTGCTACTAGTAACAGCAATGTGTCCTGTGTTGCCCTCTTTTTGAATAAAAGTATGTGTTGAAGTGTTCCCATCCATGTCTTATAAAGTGCATGTATTTGTAGAACCCAGATAATCTCCTTTCACAATTATCAGGTCATGAGGAGTCACACCTAAGGAATTACACATGAGAAACCACGCCAGAAGACGCTAACCTACTCTTGGAACTATTTAGATGGTAAATTCCCAGGCTAGTTTCTGATGTCTTATTAGATGAGACTTTTGGCATCTTGGGATAGTCTGAGTGCATTTTGAAAGTAGCAAGAATGTAAAATAACTTGTGGTTGGTGGTGGCTGCAAATTCTTTGCCACCCATCTTTTCCAGAGGCAGAATATGGGCTGGCTTTATGCTTTAACCAATAAAACATAGTGGAAGTGATGATGTTTCCTTTTCTGGCTGATGTCTGTAAGAAGATTTGACAACTTCTGCTCCTTCCTCTTGGAAAACAGCAGCCATGTCCAACTACCTTGAGACCTCCATTCTCAGAAGACCAGCCTAGCCACACAGAAAGTGAGAGACTATGTAGAAAGAACTGAGATATCAAACATATGAATGAAAGTTTCTTGGGCCTTCCAGCCAACCAAGGTAAGAGCAAGAACTGAGGTCCTAGAGGTATATATCCCCAATTTATCTATACTGGCTCCCCAGCTTAGTCTCCAGGCATGGAGGAACTGAAACAAGTCATCCCTATACACCCCCCTGAATTCTTGGACAAAATTAAAAGGTCGTTCCTTCAGGTAGGTGATAGAGTCTATTCCCCAGTTGTCTAGGAGGTAAGAGAAAGTTTTACCCGAAACAAGATCTGACCGTGGGCAGACTGATCTCATGGAAATGGGAAATAATGGCATACATTTTGATTGGAGCTTGGTGGAAAACACTATAAAATGTTTCAAGACCAGGTACTGGTAAGAAGGTGTCAAAAAGGGTATGTGGCCCTGGTTGAACAGGCCACAGGCATGGGGGATTCTGAGGAGGCATGTGCCTTAATGGAAATTAGAGATATCCCTAAATAGACCTTTTGCCAACATCGGAATTCATTCAAAAGCTTATCCTGCTATCAGATTCATATATTAAGTAAACAGTTTGCAAACTATCTTTTAGTTGAAGATAGTAACCAAAAACTACACATTAATCTATTTCTTGAAAAGAAGGGAAATTGCAGTCATATTCCTTTTACCAATTGTATTTTATTTCAGAATTTCTTGATTTTTATTTAAGGCAACAAATGGTCTCAGTTAAAAATAATCCTTCCTAACCACTTTTTAAAAATATGTTTAACAAGTTCTGTTCAAGATTCATTACCATATCTGGCTTCTAGATTTCACTTAATCATCACAAACAGATTAAATTTTTTTCCTAGTATGATTGCTTCTAAATATTGGTCATTCTCAAGCAATGTTGGATGGAAAAGCATCACAATCATTTCTAACATGTTTCATGTTTCTTAAGTATGTGTGGAGTTCTTGGCACTGTACAAGTTGTTTTAATTAGGCATGTTTTCTCATGGGATGACATGATAAATGCAAAATACTCGAAGTACATAAAGAGTATGATGTTTAAATATAAAAAAGGGTTACAAAAGACCAAAGGGATTTCTTAGTAATTGATTTTTTATTAATAAGAGAGGGAATTCTAAAAAAAAAATTATAAATGGTGTTATAAAAGCATGAAGAAGGATGCTTTTCCAGTCATGGGAAGCCATTAAATTCTGGAGAATAACCACAGCTATTTGGAACCTGTCCATTTGTGCTGCTATAACAAAATTCTTGAGACTAGTAATTTATAAAGAACAAAAATTTATTTTCTCACAGTTCTTGAGTCTGGCAAATCCAAGATCAAGGTGTTGGCAGGTGTGGTTATCCAGTGAATGCTGCTTTCTACTTCCAAGATGGTGACTTCCTCTGAGGGGAGGAATGCTGTGTTCTCATGTGGCAGTAGGGGGAAGGCTTAAGGGAACCCTGTGAAGCTTCTTTTATAAGGACCTTAATTGCATTCATAAGAGAGGGAAACTCATGGCCTAATCACCTCTTGAAGATCCTGCTTCTTAATACTATTGCATTGGCAACACCTAAATTTTGGAAAGGACACATTCAAACTATAACAAACCCACAGTGGAATTTCAAATAAATGTTGGTGACTGTCAGGATGCTGGTTTGTAATATAATAGTGTTTGATGTCAATTTTTTTTTTTGCTGAAAACATATTTTCTTCCTGCCAAAATTTTTCCATTTCCTGAAATTCCTCAAAATAGATTGCACAAAAATTGTCAAAACTCTCTTTAACAAAAGTTAATTAACACATAATTTAAAAATTAAACTAAGTATATTTTATTAAAATGAAATTTTGTTAAAATGAAATTAAGTCAAGTTAAATATCATTTGGGGAGGAATACAAATCTTTTTGTATTTAAAATTCTATTACATTTTTTCCCTGCATTATTATTCCTCCTTACATCTTAATGGGATGTAAGAGTATGTACCAAGGGGCAAATAAGATCTTTTATACTAGTTGCCAGAGAGATTTCATTTGTGATTTGGAAAATTCATTCATACTCCAAAGATATTATATTCAAAGAATTCACTTAAGAAGTCTTCAACATGAAATCTTAGAGAGAAAAATATAATTTGATAACAGGACAAATAATCTTTTAGTTATGTTAGACAGTTATGTAAATATGTATAATTCTTTTGTAATAAGTTACAGAAGAAACTTATTACAAAATGAACTCATATGGAAGATATGTATAGGTATGACATATTTGCATCTGTATCTGTCCCGAGAAGCAATTTTGATTCACCTATTTCTTGAAAAAAGTAGAAAGTTAGATAATTTCTACTGTTTTAAAGAAATAATAACACAACTGCTGTATTTTTTTTATGATGTGAATTTAAATTAGATTCAGATAAAAAAGAATTATTATGCCATTCAGTTTTATAAAAAGCTACAACAGACAGATTTCTTCTTTAAACCTACCGACTTTACTAGCATTTAATAGGTTATTTTATATCTTCATAATTAATAATTGTATGCAATGTTTATGAATTATATTATTTAAAAATAGGACAAAATATCAACAAATTCAAGTATATGTGCTGTCTTTATCCTTTGACTATTCTTAAGCTTTCATTTGCTTTCTTTAAATATATCTGATTGTATCACTTATGCCTGATGACTATTTTCAGATAATGAACAATGGTATTTTTAATTGTCTGGAGAAGAGTTCTTCCACTCTATAGTTTTGATCCCTCTAGTAAATAGTATATAAGTAGAAGAGAAAAAACCCTATTGAGTAGGCTAGAGTAAGCTATAAAAATCCAATTATTTCTCAATTATATTCTCACAAAAATATATATGGATGGAAACGGCCTGAGAAGAAAAATTAAAGCCAACATTACTTTTACATGGACTTTCTTCTCTCAGAGAAATGTAGAATCTGAGATCTGTAAGGCCCACAGTGTCAGAAAGCTGGGCTACATTAATTGTGATTACCTCTCCTTTTTCTTCTTCTATTTTAAAAACACTGGCTTATTCTGGCTCTGCAGAGATAGCTCACCAAACAGGGAACTCCTCAGTATCTGGCCCTCAACTTACAAAGGAGAGTATTATTTTGAAGACCCAGGTTAATAATGTCAATGGGAATTTCTTTGTGTTAAAATTAAATGGCTAGGGAAATTATAGTTCATTATTTGTGTATCATATTTAGCAATTTATAAATTTATTTTCTGAAGGGAGGATATTATCCAATGATATTTTAAACAATTATATCATATTTTAATTTTTGCATGGGATCTTACAACTGGTGTTCAATTCTATTCTTTAGCGATATTCCTCACAAAGCATCTTTGTAAAGGATCGATTGGAGTCATTGCTTCCCATGACAAACCATTTAAATGTCACACATTTATCTTCAAGGGTTATTTTTTACACAAAGTAAATGTTTGTTTTCCTATGGCTTCTATCCATCTCTTCTTCCTGGAATAAAAGGGAGTAAGATTTAAGTCTTCTTCCATGTTATAAATATTTAGATATTTGAAGAAAATTGTAACATCCATCCTTCCAGGCTTAGCATACTGATTTACTTCTATCATTTCTCAAGTGATATTTTTTTGGCTCCCTACACCACTGCCATGCACAAATGTGAGGCCAAAAAATACTTGTTGAACAAAGTAGAAAATAAACCCCTATGTGTATGGGAAAAGATAGGGAATTAAAAGAAAATTAGAAAGATAGGAAAGTAAAAACATTTCCTAAAGTCTTTAGCCTTGAATGGGACAGAGAATTAATGAATATTCAGATCTTCTTAACATATTATTCTAGTTTCCCTTAACCTGTAAATATAAGGCTGGGGATGTTAAATATTATTAATATAAGAAGATAGGGAATGTGTTCATTAGGAGGCTACTGAAGCATAGCAGTGACATCTTTCTTTGCCCATGAAGCTATGTTTTTTAATAGTAATTTAGATTTTATATGCATTTTTTTCATGTACTATTTCATTCGTAGCAGAAAGATTCTAGAGCATTGAATTTTGGTTCGAAGTCTTACTTTTAAAGTGTATACAGGTGTGTATGTCTCTAGACCAGCATGCATGTAATGTACTAACAAAAAACATATTCACATTTTTTCAACAACCATGTGAAAATCGCATGTATTGAAATCCAGATGGTAGTTTAGAGAGTTATCTGTTACTGTATGTGATCTTGTCTTTAGGCACTTTTTAAAAAAGAAGGCATTGAAGCATGACATCCTCCCTTTCTGCCTCTGCTTTCTTTATGGGATATGTACTCAAAGAGGGCTTAACAGAGCAGTGGCTTCACAAGGGAATAGGGAGTTTAATGAATCATACATACTTTATTTGAAAAATATCAATAACCATTCAGTGGTCTATTCTTGCATAAACTGAATAAAAATCTCTATATAAATGGTGCATAGCTTTTTTTATGAATCATGCTCTATTTTTTAGTACAATGCTAAATCTTCTTAAAACGTGTAGTTTTACCTGCCAAGCCTAAGATAAATTTCCATCAGTGATTAAAGACTAGTTCCATTCCCTATAATCCTTGTCAATTATATGAATAGGCAGTAATGGATCACTTTATTTTCTCTGGTTATTAAAACACAAAATAGTAATGCAAATGCACTGTACAATGTCTCCTTACTAGATTGGCAGTGTAATTTATTTAATCAAATTCAGAAGTCAAAGACAGAGAAACAGGAGTCAGTCTCCTAAAGTCTATGTGGGACAAAAACGTATTGAGCTGTGATATACGTACAAAAAGTCAGAATACAAATTTTAAGTCTTCCAGAGTTCTCTCTTACCATCACACTCACACATAATATTTAGTAAAGAACATTTCAATTTCATTTATAAAGCTATAATTTTTAAACTGTATCTTCAATGTGGACATTCACATTCACTCTGAAGGAAGAGAGTTGATCCTTAAAGGCTATGACTGTGAGGACCATTCATTTTAAAATTTTTAAGTCACAAAGGATAGAACTGAGTCAGATTTGGATTTATCAAAAAGGTTAAATAAAAAGCAGATAGCAGTGTCAGAAAGAGAAGATATGTGGCCCCCTCCTCACTGGACAAGGCTATGAAGAAGCAGCTGGTGGAATCAGGTGTAGATTTTTAAAAAGTGTAATGTTGCTGGCATTATCTCCATGATACTCGTGACCACTGCTTTGAGTGAAAATTTAATAAAATTAACACTACTTTCTTGATTTATTTTTTCTTTTCTTCTTAATCTTCCCTTCAAGATTAAACTCATCAGCACTTGACAAAAACTGCAAATAACAGCCAGATGCAGGAGTTGGTTTTATCTTTTTATGCAAGTATGTGGTGCTAATTAGTGCAAATTGATTAAACTTTAATTGCCTGATCCATGGCTAATTAATATTTATAAGATGAATGAGCAGGAAAACCAGACATTTATTAAAACACTTTAATGATTTTTCATATGTTTTGACAAAGCAAAGCAAATAGATGTTATGAGTATGGATGTGCTAGACTAGGGGAGTGTATCTGTTGCCTTCTTCTACCTGTGAATGCCCTAAAAGTCTACATTAACTTTTAAACACATAAATTGTAAACTTATTTTTCTTTGGGTCCCTCTTCAAATTATTTCCAAATATTTTTGCTATTAAGCCACCCTGTTATTTATGACATAATTATAGCAGTGATAGATATTAAAATTAACACATGCATAAAATTATTTATTTTACTATTATTTATATTATGTATTCATGTATTACAATAGCCATGTGTTAGTACGATGTAAAATGTGTATTTTTAAGCAATAAAATGTATACCAATATTTTTATTTATTTAAGATTTTAAATTTTTTGAAAAAAATAATAATTAGAATATCAATTAAGATCATTAATCATTTGAATATTTAAATTACATAGATCTGATATGTTTCCATTTAATTATCTTGGTGCCTAAAGTTATAATCCAGGGTTCATTCTTAACTGTAAAACTAATTTGACACATTGAAAGCAGTATATGTTAGGTGTACATTGTTCAAAAGTAAGATATATTTATTTCTAAAAAATGTCATTTTGCACATAATCAGTAAAATAATTGTTACATATAATTATTCACAATAATATCAGCTTATTTAGAATGGTAAATGTCTGTTCATTATCTTGATATTTCACAATTAATTCACACAGTCAATATATTTTCAGTAAAAAGTTTTTTCAAAGAAAAACGTTTTGTAAACTTGATAAAATTCTGTATCTTTGTTTTTTATATCCTACATTTAACTTTTATGTTTAATTCTCTAGCATAACAAAGCAGACCCTAGTTCATACTTTCTTGTATATATATCTCTACGTATGTCACTATTTTTTTTATTTTTATTTTATTTTATTTTATTTTTTTTATTATACTTTAAGTTTTAGGGTACATGTACACATTGTGCAGGTTAGTTACATATGTAACTATTTTAAGTGATTATTGTGATCTTGATATTTGGTAAAATTTTTTTTTACCCAAAATCATTTTGTAGTCTTAACAAAAATGATTTTAAATGATTTTCTAAATTAAGTAGGTTAAAATATCAAAATGATCACCTACATAATTATTACTTACTTTAAGTTAATGCATAATAAATTCTAAAATGAAAAGTCAGCCCGCTTCCCTTTTCTCAATTCTTCCATCTGAAAATGTTGCAAATTTTATTAAAGTTATATCAGCAATTGTGATGGTCTTTTGATGGGTCAACATGGCTAGGCTACAGCTGATAGTTATTTAATCCAACACTGATCTAGATGTTCCTATGAAGGTATTTTGTAGATGTGAATGAAGTTCAAAATCAGTTGATAACTGGTAGTGATAATCATAATCGTAAACAAGATTATCCTAGGTAATCTAGGTGGACTTGATTCAGTCAGCTGCTAAATCTAAAGAGCAGAGCCCAGGCTTCCAGGATAAAGAACAAATTTCACCTGTGAACTGCAACTTCTGCCTGTGCCTAAGAGTTCCAGCCTGTCTTTTTTGATAGTCAGCCATATAAATTTTAGGACGGCTATGCCGGTTCCCACAACCATGTAAGTTAATTCCCTCCAATAAGTATCTTAAGATATATTTTCTACTGGTTCTACTTCTCTGTTGGAAATCTGACTGAAACAGAAATCAAAATACTTAATAACTTCCATAAGAAATCATATGAACAGATATGCGCACAATGACAAAATAATGAGATGAGTACTAAGCAGGTATGGACAATTTCATGCAAGGAGATATAGAATGGAAGATCTAAATGGGAAAAGAGGTAGTGTAAGGTGGAGTAGAATGGGTGGTGGATGAGTAGAGTGGAGCAGAACATTTCTAGCAAAGGTTAAAAAAATTACCAATGCATGAGGCATGTGGAGATCATTGTTCCTATAGTGCCATTATCTATATTTCTAGGGGAAAATGGCATTGGATGGAGTCTGCAACTTGTTATCCAAGACAGATGACAAACTGTCTTGGATAACAAGAACGGTTAATGGATTTATTGAAGGGGTATGCTGATTAAATACATTTAGAAGGGGATAGTCACAATCAGATTTCGGTTTAGGAAGTCTGGCAAAACTATTGAGGGAGAACTGACTACATAAAGATGAGTTAGGTGGGTTTTGTTTGTATGTTATTTGTTTTGCTTGTATGCATTTTGTTTTTGTTTTTAATCTATAGAGATAATGAAGCTTCAAACCAAGATAATGGCCATGCGTGGGGATAGATAGTAGAAAATGAACTTGAAAGATGTCAGGTATTATTAGGGTGAATTAAATGTGGGCAATGATGGAGGGGGAAACTTAGAACCCTAGTTTTCCAATTTGGGCAAGTATGTGGAAAAGAATGTTGGGCACAATGTTCAGAAATAAAACAACATAATAGAAATAAGTACATTTCTGGGAGTTTCTAATTTTACTTGCCAGGATATTTTCAACTGAAGATTTCTACCAGAAAGTTTAGGAGTTCAAAAATAAGAATTATATTAGAAATACCAAGTTGTGGCTGAAGATATGTGGATGCCTATGACTTCCAAGGAAGCAAGTGTATGTTAGGTAAATAAGTGGACAGAAGAATTTATTTTGTCTTTAAGCTAATTTCATGTTAAATAAAATTTCAAGTGTATTGCATTGCTTTCAGGCTATGTCTGGAAATTAAAAACATTTTTATTACATTTTTACCTTTAAAACAAATTACTTATGTTTCTTTTAAATAGAATATTTTAAATACCTGACCAGATAATTCTCTTTTTTAAACTATTCCATAATTCATCCACTAACTTAAGAGTTTACTCATTCATTTACTCAAGCTAATATTTAGCATCTAACATGTTCTAAGCTGTGTGCTATGTACCATAACATGGAGAGAAAAGCCTTCACATATAATGTCTAGGTCTTGCCCATATATTTAAAGATCAACTTCTGACTGAAGAGAATCGGAAGACATTTAAATTGTAAATAATATTTTTAATATTAAGGTATTTTCTATAATGTATATGTCTCTTCGTATCTAATGGAAAATTATATATTAAAACATAAACTTCAGTCAAAGCCTTTACAACATTTAACGTCTGTGAGGCCAGGAGATAGCAGAGGGCCTCAAAGAAGGAAGATTCTAATTTTAAGAAAGAGCATTAGAATGGACAGAAACAAATTTTGACCCTGGAATTCAAACTCAGTGAAAGTATATTACCCAAGACAAATAAATGTTCCGTTCTCATTTGATAACAAAGTGCGATGACAGCATAATGAAGAGAAAAAGGAAGAGGAAGAAGAGTAATGGTAGGAGCAATAAACGGAAGATCTCCAAGGATCGGTACCCCAAAAGGCAAGAGCAAACCTATGTCTACCAAGAGAGGTATGAATATACTGAAAAGGCTTGAGATTGCTCACAGAAATTGACTCAGAGGGCTCCCAGGTGGAGAAGATTTCGTTACTCATATAGGTGATCAGAAGCTATTTAACCACCTGTCAGGTTTGCTTCTGAGATACAACTGACAAAGTATGATGACTATCTGACCTCCTATCTCTAGTCTATTACAACTAACAGCGTGGCCCAGCAACATAGTGACCAAAAACATAGGTGTCACTTATGAGCTTGTTAGACAGTCAGAAACTCAGGCTCCTCCCAGTGTCTACTAAATCAGAACACTCTTGTTTAAAAATTCAGAAGTTGATTTGTATATACATCAAATTTTGAGAAGCACTGCTTAAGCAAATCTCACTTATACCTAACCCAAAATCTCTGCATAAGGCCAACGATGTCACACAATACAATTTGTTTGATTTTTTTCCCCTAGCCAGATGCCTTGCTGTAACTCCACTTACAGTGAGAAAGCTAAGTATTTAAAGTACTATACATTAGAAAACTCAGGTTATACCTCATTAAATAAAATGTATGACTTGCTCCATTCCTCCAATAAGTTTAAAATACCCAGTTGTGTTGACACACCTCTCTTAAATTGAGGGAGATCACACAAAACCAATAAAACTATAAATTAATCATTCATTCTTTATAATTATTGTAAATGTCAAATGTGATTTTAGACTCTATATTTTTTAAGTAATGTCTAGCCTAGTAGAGATTAAACATACCCTCCCAACACACACACACAAGTAAAAAGAGAGGGAAATCATACTTACTAGCAATTAAGAAAAATAATAAAAAGACAAGTATCATAGCATAAAACAAATGAATGTCAAGCAGAAGATCTGAATTTCATTTTTTGCACTACTACTTTAGTAATCATACAAGGATTTAACATCCCTGTGTCCCAACTTTCCTTCTTTAACCTAGATTATCTCTGAAATTACCTGTACATCTCTTCATTACACCTTAAGAAATTATAAGTCCTTAAAGAGAAATATTTTATTTTGACAATGGCTGTATGTATTTGTACTTACAACTTCAAAAATTCTGAAAGCCTATCATTGATTTGACAATTTCATTATTAGATGAAGACTTCTCTTTCCATAACTTTATTTTGTAGCATTTAATGGCATCTTATGTTATGCATGCTTTAAATTTGTGCGACATTATTTTATTTTCCCCATAAAATACGGACATTTTCATACTTTGTGTGTTATTACACATGTGGATATAAACAGTAGACTTCACAACTACCCTAATCCTAAGAATCTTCCACTGATTTTCACAGGAAGTTTCACGTAGAAAGGGATAGATGGTCTGTTGTGGTTATTTAATGCTATATAACAAATTGCCCCAAAGCATAGTTGCTTAAAATAACACCAACATTTATTTTGTTCATGAGTCTGTAATTTGGGCAAGGCTTTGTGGAGAGTTCAACTGTGTTTCAATTGGCAGCAAGTGAGGTGGCTCCAAAGCTAAGTTACAGTATCATGTGAAGAAATATAAGTGTATTGACTTGTATTTCTGGTGTTTTTTACTACATGTTGGCTGGGCTGAATGTTGGTCAGGACCTTAGCTAGGTAGTTGGTTGGAACTTCTTCTATATATGGCCTCTCCAGGTGGCTGAGGCTTCCTCACAGCATGGTGCCCTAGGTTTCATTGGTGAGAGGAGAGAGAAAGAAAAAAAGACTCTGCCACCTTTTAAGACCTAATCTTAAAAGTCACATACATCACTTAATTGCATTTTATCCATGAGACAATCACAAAATCCAGACCAATTTTAAGGGGAGACTGCTCCATTTGATCAGACAGTAGTAGAAAAGTTCTGAAAGAGTATGTGGACACGGAACTATTGCTGTGCTCATCTTGAAAACCTCATGGGGTCAATTTTTCATTTCATTCTCTAAGCAGAAGTAAAGCCTTTTGCAAAAGGGCTTAACTGTTGTTATGCTTTGGCTGTGTCGCCACCCAGGTCTCAACTTGAGTTGTAGTTTCCATAATCCCCACATGTCGTGAGAGGGACCCAGTGGGAGGTAACTAAATCATGGTGGTGGGTTTTTCCCTTGCTGTTCTAGTGACAGTGAATAAGTCTCACAAGAATTGACGGTTTTATAAAAGGGCAGTTCCCCTGCACACACTCTCTTGCCTGCTGCCATGTAAGATGTGTCTTTGCTCCTTTTTCGCCTTCTGCAATGATTTTGAGGTTTCCACAGCCATGTGAAACTGTGTGTCTAGTAAACCTTTTTTCTTTATAAATTAGCCAGTCTCGGTATGTCTTTATTAGCAGCATGAGAACAGGCTAATGCAACTTTCTTCCTCTGTATGTTAGCCTCAGATAATCTATACGCACACACACCCTCCCTTATCCTCAAAGATAGTCTTCATTAAAGAAACTAAACTTGTAGCATCGCCTCAGAAGTTTTCATAATCAGTAATGACATGTTTTTGGTAGACTGTTACATTAACAGTTTTCATGTATAGTCCTTACCCACATTGATTCTGAGCCGGAGCATATGACTTGTTTCAATCAATGAGCTATTACAATCGTGATACAAGCAGAGACTTAAAGTGCCTGTGCATTTGGCCTTGCTTTCTCTTGCTTTTGGGAACCCTTTTGTCTTGGTGTGGAAAATTAAAAAACAAACAAACAAAGAAAAACAAACAAAAAAAACAACCAGGGCTAGTATATTAAAGGGTAACAAAGGATATGGAGAGAGAGGTCCCAGACATCTCCTCCATCCTAGCTGAGGTCCAAATGTATGATTGAGCACAGTGAAACCCAGCCTAAATTGCTGATCCACAGAATCATGAGAAAATAAATGATTGTTTCAAGCTGCTAAGTTAAACATTACTTTAAACTAGAGTAGATCAGACCAGACACTATGTGATAGAAGCAATATGTGATACACACAAGGGGATTTCTTTTTCATTCACCCAATATTTTAGGGTGTTTATACTTTGTGGGGTGCCAGGAAGTGGTAGTCGAAAATACTTTGCAATCATGAGACTAAAATACTTCAGATTTCCTTGCTCAGTCTATAGAGATATTGATTTAAGACATTGCTAAATGAGAAGTCAATTATGGCTTTCCTGCTTCTCAGATATTTTGTTAGCTTTGGTGACCCCCCAAGATGTACATCTTAGGAGAAGCCACAGTCCTCTACACCATTTTGAAAATTGCATATAGTTCATATTTTTTCTTCATTCTTTCCTGCCTTGAGGACCATCCCGTTGCCCATTGTGCCAACTTAGCTTGACTCTATCTAAATGCAAAAAGCAGTCCCTTATTTTTCTCCTGCACAAGTTCACATACTACAGTCATTTCTTGATTTTTAATAACTGTAGTAAAGATCTGGGGTAGTTGGGAAGGATTATATTTAGGAGCAGAGTGTCTTTAAGCAGTTAGGTTGGTTCCAATGCCTCATTGAACTTTTCTCTTTCTTCCCATTCTTCCCTTCTTTCTTCCTGGTAAATGTCAAATATCTTTTACTGTAATCCCCAAGATCTAATTTTTCATTGACAATCACATATACTATTACCTTAAACAAGAAACTGATGATTGTTATTGTAAAACATTTTCTCACTTGTTTCATAAGCCCATATACTAGTTTGAAACTATTCTTATCAGCCAAGGTAGAAATAGCTTTAGCTAGAGCAAGTCATTTAACAAAACAAAATGAATAGACAGACTAGAGATGAAATAAGGGCAAGAATCCCAAGGGCCAAAGTCATTGCTACTCAAAGTAAGAAAAATGGGAATAACTGCAAGATACTTGTTTTTCTCCCTCCGAGACGGGAGCCAATTAAGTGCATTGGCAGTGGGTTTTTGTTAGAGAGGAATAATTTAAAATTTGGCCTACTTGGGAGTCTTTTTTTTTTTTTTTTTTGAAGGAGTTTCTCTCTGTCTCCAGACCAGAGTGCAGTGGCGTGATCTCTGTTCGCTGCAATCTCCACCTCTCAGGTTCAAGCGATTCTCCTGCCTCAGCCCCGCGAGTAGCTGAGACTACAGGCGTGTGCCACCACGCCCAGCTAATTTTTGTATTTTTAGTAGAGATGGCATTTCACCATGTTGATCAGGATGGTCTCGATTTCTTGACCTCGTGATCCGCCTGCCTCGGCCTCCCAAAGTGCTTGGATTACAGGCGGGAGTCTTTTATAAAGTCTATTCTTCTGATTCATTTGTGACAATCCTTAATTATTCTATGTGTTTTCATTGGGACAATCAGTAAAAGCATAGAACACAATGGGTCACACTGGTAGACAAAGGGTCCAGGATGAGCCAATAAGAAATCTCCTGGGATATGTTGCTCAGGTTGAACCAATCAGAGATCTCCCTGGAGCTTTTCGCTAAAGCTAGGTAGCAAGACTGTTTACTATTTTTGGAATGTAGACCTACATGTGTTAGCTTGAGGCTCAGCAGCCATCTTTCACATTACATTGAGATAGCCTTATTTTGTCAGGGAAGAAAGAGGCCAGCAAGTAAAAAGATGTAGAGTTAAGAAAACTGTGAAAGCTGATATTTGGGAGGCAACGGTGATCAAGATCATTATTTCAGTCGAGATGCCATTTGGATGTCCCCAGCATGTGATTCGATGAAACCTCAGCTTTGTAAAAGCTAGAATGAATAGGTTCTGTAATTTACTAACAAAAGAGTACTGGCTTGTAGCCATAGACAGTTTATATTTATTAAATTCAATCAAGGAAAAAAAAAGTCTATGGACAAAGAAATAAAAAACACGAGGGATGCCTACTGTATCAAGTACCTAAGAAGTGGGTTCAAAGTATGTATACCAATCACTCTAAGGCTAGACAACATGACCTGACTGCTTGTGCAACCCTAGTAGTTTATAAGCTGAAATCCACCTCAGGTCAAAGTTTACGTAACTTGGTATTGCTTCCAATTCACACAGTATTGGGCAGGCTCACTTCCAATTAGAATTACAGAGTTTGCCATCATATTCTCAAAGAATGAATTTAGGAAAGAAAACTTCAAGATCAGGCTTCAGTTAATACATATTTGAGTGAAAACCAAGAGCAATAATTTCTGACAATTTT
This sequence comes from Homo sapiens, assembly GCF_000001405.40. NCBI lineage: Eukaryota > Metazoa > Chordata > Mammalia > Primates > Hominidae > Homo > Homo sapiens. Next base: position 71,209,624 of record NC_000013.11, read on the forward strand.
AAAAATTATGTCTCTGTCTATTGATCCCCATTCCCAACTCATTATTTGCTATTTCATTAAAAAATTATTTTTTTGTATGTATCAATGGTTATCATTTACAGAAATAGTAGCATGCGTTAGTCACCATTTGCTGCACCAATGAACAAGTCCAAGTTCTCAGTGGCTTCTAACTGCAAACATTGGTTTCTGGCTCATGTCACATTACAGCCGTACCCCTTTAGGAGCTTGGCTGGCTGCTGTTGAATTTAGCTGGGCTCTATTAGGCTTGACTAGGCTTGGCTAAATTTACCTGTGCTCAGTTGAGTTCTGCTCTTGGTTTGGCTCCACATCTGCTCACATTTCATTAGTCAAAGCAAGTCAGATGACTATGCCCAAAACCAGTGGAGTAGGCCAGCATTTTCTGCCTAGAGGTAAGGTGCTACAAAGTTCCATGGCAAAGGTGTGGATATATAAACCACTTACAAAGAAAACAAAAAATGATGGAAACAATAATCTAACCTACAACAGAACTGAAAGTTTGGGAGGGTGACACATTAGATCCACATTTACAGATTCAAGGAACATCAAGTATTAGCAGCTAGATTTCTAACCAATTTTTCTACCTATAGATAGAAGGAGCAAGTGAATAGGGAGTTATTCCTATTCACATGAAGTCGCCACAACATTTCCACTAAAAGATGTCACATGTTCTCCAAAGCTGTTTCCCAAGATAGTCCAAGTTAGTCCCAGGAAGGAGATCTTTAACTGCATTAATCTGTTCATGTTTATAATCTTACACATGCTCATAATCTGTCTTTTCTCTTAAGTTATTCAATATCTTAAACAAATCATTCTGCACACCTGCTATTCGCTAACACTACTGTCAATTTCAGTGCAGCAATAGACAATGAGTAGAATAAAATAAGTTTTTGGAAGAGTAGGCATTTTGAAGTAGACAAGCAGACCCCTGTGGAATCAGAGCAGCCATTTCTTGCTTACTTGATGATTTAAAAAAATGTGTGTTAAAATTGTTTAGAAGAAACATCGAAATATTCCAAGATTTTTATTTTCAAAACAACTCAAAGCACAGTTTCCTTCTAGGGATTTGAATAGTTTTGAGTCTTATACAAAGAGTTTTATTCACTGAATTTTATTTTTCTCATCTAAACTGAGATTTACCTGTAGGAAAATGTCATAATAGCCTTCAAAAGTTAACTCAGGTGAAACATAAAAATAAAAGCTTCCTTTCTCTCCTGATCTCATATCCCAGCCCTACTTTATTCTTCTCCTTTTCCATCAGTCACTCAGACTTCAATGGAAAAGTCACTGAGGATCAAATAATCCAGCTGTTGTTTTCAGCTTTCTCTATTTTAATGTTTATTTTCCAAATCATTTCCTATTTTTCTACTAAAAATATCCTGCCAAATCATTATTTTTTCTGGAGCAAATCTAATGCTTTCTGTTGCTAGATATCTGATCCAAATCCAATATTTTTCTTGGCAGTTGGTGAACATAATAATAAGTAGGGATTTTTTTTTTCTTTCCACACTTAGAGCTGGGGGAAAAGAAAGACACTATTCACAATTAAAACCATTTAAATATTGAGGTTAGTTCTCACCTTAGCACACATTCACAAATACTTCTTAAAGGGAGAACATGTTAAAAGAAGTTTCTATGCTTTTAATATATATTTGCAGATAGGTTTCTAGTTCTTAATGCACATTATTTTGAATACACATTGGGAGTGTGATTTAGTTAATGCCATCCTTTACAAAGCTTGATTTTTTTCACTTTACTTTTAAAATCTTTGTCAAAATGATAGTATGCATATAGGAAACAAAAAGTTCAGAACCTGTATTAGTCTGCTCTTGCAGTGCTATAAAGAAATACCTGAGACTGGGTAATTTATAAAGAAAAGAGGTTTAATTGGCTCACAGTTCTGCAGGCTGTACAGGAGGCATGATTGGTGGTGGGGGAGGCTTAGGAAACTTACAATCATGGTGGAAGGAGAAGGGGAAGCAGGCACATCTTACAGGACCCAAGCAGGAGGAAGAGAGAGTTGGGGGTGGTGCTATATACTTAACAACCAGATCTTGCCACAACTAACTCACTATCACAAGAACAGCACTAGAGGAGAAATATTCCCCCATGATCCATTCATCTCCCACCAGGCTTCACGTCCAACATTGGGGATTACAATTTGACATGAGACTTGGTCAGGGACACAGAACCAAACCATATCAGAAGTAATAACAATAAAATCACTTCGTCTCACTGCTATTTCAATTATTTAACCGATTTTTAAATGATTTCTGATTTTATTTATTGATTTTCTTCATAATATTACACAACAGTCTTCTATATTGATTTGTAGATTTACTAATTTTAGATCCTATTTGTGGCCAAATAAAGGAAGATTTAGATAACTCGGACTATCCCTGCCTCCTCCTCCTAATTTCTAATAGATTTATTGTTTTGCTTTTCTGAAATTTTGGTTTTTCAAGACTTCCAGAAATGTTCTTCCTCCTCCATAATAAATAAAATGTCTTGATTCCCTCAAGTTATCTTTCTTGAGGATGTTTATCTGTTTACTCTACCCTTAACCATTTATTTCTTCTTCCATTTCCCAATTTCTGTCCACTAGCCATTTATATCTATATTATCAAGAAAGTGAACTTTTTCCTTTTAGCTCTGATTAATTATCAAGTTTTGTTTATAACAGTATGTCATAAAGTCAGGAAACATAGCATAGTAGTCGTCTTTGTTATAAGATCGACAGTCCCAAATGGCAATGTAGAATAATCTTATTTTTAAAGAGTGTATCAGTTCCATTTGCAAATAATGTGCCCAAAATGCTTTTACTCTACACTTAGGCATATTTTTTGGTAAAGTACCTCTGCATTTAAAGCAATGGTCCCATCATTAATTACCTAAACCTCGAAATGTTGGGACACACAGGAAAGTATTTTTGTATAAAATTTTATTTTCAGGTTAACAATGGTGTCTTTTTTTCACATTAGCAGTAATGCTGTTTTCATCGCCATGGCTTTACATTTAGAGAAACTCACCTGAAGAAAATTTAGATGAATTTGTTATTTTGGAGCCCAGCACTTAATATTAGATGCCTTAAGTCACTTTACAACTATTACTAAAATAGTTTTAGATAAAAACCTCAAAAAAAAAAAAAAAAACTGAACACACCGACATAACATAAAACCCTGTTGCAAAATTATTGGATAATTAAAATAAATTGGAAAGAATGAATTTTTAGTAGAGAGTCTACACAAATCTAGTGAGAAATAGTTTATTAGATGCCAAAATATAATTTTCTGCTCAATTCTAAAGTTCATATTTTGTTCCAACCCAAACATAACTTGATTCTCCATGTCAAAATATGTTTATGACAGAGAACACAAATGTAAGTTCAAGTAAAAGTATTAGAGAGAAATAAATTATTCCTAGGTTAATATATCAATTTTAGTATGCATTTATTTGGTACATAACAGAGAACAAATCTCCAAAGAAATAAAAAAGACATCAATTAAAATTAAATTTGAAGTTATTTTTTAGCCACAAGCGTAAGTTATCTGCAAAAAAGCTCTTAAACTGATTTCAATCATTTAGTCTTTCAGGAAATACTTACTACAAAGAAAAAATGTCCAGAAATCTCTGCCTACATGTACTTTATGAGACAAATAATTATAAGTAAATAAAAATATAATATGTCAGATGGTGATAAATGTGAGGAAAATATAAATTAGGAGAGTGGATATTGAGACAGAGAAAGGGGTACACTTTGAAATGTGGTGAGAGAAGGTATTATAGAAGTCCCCATTACCCACAGTTTCACTTTCTATAGTTTCAGTTACCATAGTCAACCACAGTCCCAAAATATTAAAAGAAAAATTTCCAAAATAAACTATTTATAAGTTTTAAATCGTGCACCATTCTGAGTAGCATGATGAAATCTCAAACCATCTCGAGCCATCCTGCCTGAGACAGGAGTGAGTCCTCCCTTTTCCAGCACATGACACTGTGTGCACTACCTACTTGTTAGTCATTTAATAGCCATCTTTCTTATAAGACTACCTGTCCCATATGGCAGTGCTTGTGTTTGAGGTCAATTGCAGCCTACTGTATTCCACAATGCCTACATTATTGACCTCACTTTATCTCATCACACAGGACTTGTATAATCTCACATGATAACAAGAAAAAAAAAGCATGAATAGATTATAAGATATTTTGAGAGAAAGAGAAAAATTACATTTGCATAACTTTCAATACTATATATAGTTATAATTTTTCCACTTTATTATTATCTCTTACTATGTTAAATTTATAAATTGAACTTTATCATAGGTGAGCATATATAGGATAAAAAACATAGGGATCAGTATTATCTGTCGTTTCAGGCATCCACTGGGGTCTTGGAATGTGTCCCCCTTGTATACATATCACTGTATTTGATAAGAGACATTTGAAAAAATTCCTGAAGAACATGATGAAGTGAGTTAAAGTGTGTGAGGGAGAAGGAACAGAGAGTGTGAAGGCCCTGAGGCAGACTCCTGTCCAACTTGTTTAAAGAAAGGTAAGATCAGGGTAGCTGGAAGAAAGAGGAGAAGTCAAATGCACATTGTGGCAGCTTGGGTTTTCCCCTCATTAAATATTTCTCACCTCATTAATGCAGGCTATGTACAGCATTATCAAGAGTAACTTGTAGGGCATTGTGAGGACTTCACTTTCCCTCTAAGTAAGATAAAAAGCCATTGGCAGTTCTGAGCAGAGGAGGGAAGTGGTTTGCCTTTCATATTAAAAGGTTTGCTCCAGCTCTTCTGTTACGAATAGGTTCTTAAAAGTGGAAGATGAATTCTGAGGCCAATTAGAAGATCATTGCAGTAGTCAAAATGAGAGATGCTGATAACTTGCGTCAGAGTGGCTACGTCTGAGATGGTGATAAATGGTTGGATTCTGCATATATTTTGAAGGTAGAGCTAGCATGATTTCCTGATAGATTAAATTGAGGCAGAGAAAGAACACTCCATAATGACTTAAATTTATTGGCATGAACAGCTAGAATAACAGAAATGGCCATTTTCTTAGATGAGAGAGATTGTGAAAGAGTCCCCTAATGCCCAGTCTGGACAGATAAATCAGGTCTTAAGTTTTGGTTGTGTTAATATGGAGATGTCTTCTATCAAACTGCAATAATGTTGGCAAATAGACAATTAGATATATAATTCTAAAGTTCAGAGGAGTAGTCCAGGCTGGGAGCATCAGTTCATGAATACTTAAAACCACAAGAAATAATGAGAGCACCAAGGAGATGCACCTAAGTAAACGAGAGAAACGCTCTGGATCACTGCAAATGTTCAAGGTCAGGGAGGAGACTAGTGAGGAAAAGGGAAGTAGGAGTATGTGGTGTCTGGGAAAACAATTGCGGACAATGTTTAATGAGGAAGGAGCAATCAACTGTGTCAAACACAATTTAATTGATGGTCAGTAATAGGAATTCAAGCTTTGGGTTTAGTAAGATTTGGCCACCGGTTACTTTGACAAGGGTATTTTCAGTAAAGTAGTTAAGATAATAACTTTATTAGAATTAGTTTAAAAAGAAAATAGGGCAAAGCCGACTGGCTTATAGAAATTGTAAATGACTTTTTATTTGAGACACAGTTTCGCTCTTTTTGTCCAAGCTGGAGTGCAATGGCGCGAATCTCAGCTCCCTGCAACCTCCGCCTCCCTGGTTCAAGCGCTTCTCCTGCCTCAGCCTCCTGAGTAGCTGGGATTACAGGCGCCTGCCACCACGCCCGGGTAATTTTTTGTATTTTTAGTAGAGACCGGGGTTTCACCATGTTGGCCAGGATGGTTTTGATCTCTTGACCTCGTGATCCGCCCACCTCGGCCTCCCAAAGTGCTTGATTACAGGCGTGAGCCACCGCGCCCGGCCAGAAATTGTAAATGACTTTTTTTAAGGAACTTTGCTGTAAAGAAAAGCAAAGAAGTAGGATAGTAGCTGGAGGAGGGTGGAAGGTCAAGAGAGATTTGGGGTTTTAGGCTGAAATTTCAGTATGTTTTAATTCTAGTAGAAATAATCCAATAAAGAGGGAAAATATACAAGATTATACAGAACAGAGATGGGAAGACTGCTGAAGCAATGCTCCTGGAGAAGTCAAAAGGAGATAGGATTTACTGCATCAGGGACATCTTCATATGAATAAATATTATGAAATATAAGGATAAAGAGCAGTAGAGTCTGAAATATGAATGATCCAGACAGGAGCAGATTAGAGAGTCAGGTGAATCTTCAGTTCACCATAATGGTTTAGATTTGCTGCTTTGTAGTAGAGAGTAGATATGTATCCACACCCACTTTGTTATATTATTTCTAGATGAATTTCTTGTGGCGAGGTTAATATCCTGGGATATATTATATATACACACTATGCATATACATATATATGCATAGTGTGTGTGTGTGTGTGTGTGTGTGTGTATATATATATATATATATATATATATCTCCATCCCCCCTTGGATACATACCACTGAAATTTAGAGGAGACATTTATATATATATATATATATATATATATGTGTGTGTGTGTGTGTGTGTGTGTATATATATATGTGTGTATATATATTATATATATGTGTGTATATATATATATATACACACATATATATACACACATATATATATATGTATATATAATTGTCAATGTGGAATTTTGCTGCAATTCTTCTTAACTGGGCCTCTTTTCAATTCATGCAACTCAATTTATAAATGGCTCTTTAAAACTCTCTTTTATATAGAGTTAAATATTGCTATGGACTGAATGTTTGTGTCCCTCCAGAATGCATATGTTGAAGCCCTACTCCCCAGTGTGATAATATTTGGAGGTGAGGTCTTTGGGAGGTAATTTTATTTAGATGAGGGCGTGAGGGTAGAACCTTCATGATGGGATTAGTGCCCTTATAAGAAGATAAAGGGACCAGAGCTCTCTCTCTCTCTTCTATGTGAGGACACAGCAAGAAAGCAGTCATCTGTGAACCAGGAAGAGGGCTGTCACCAAGAACCCAATCATACTGGCACCCTGATATCAGATTTCCAGCTTCCAGAACTGTCAGAAATAAATGTTTGTTGTTTAAATCACCCTATGGTATTTTGTTACAGCAACTCCAACGGACTAAGATAAAAATGTCTCATGAAATACAATAAAGGGTCTTAACCTGTGACACTGTGGAACGTCATTATGATGACATGATGTGCCACGCTGTTGTCATGTTGAGCAAGTAGGCTCCTATCCACTGATGGTCTACGTTATTGAATATTGGACAAGGGTTCAGGACAAGCAACTCAGGGACTGAATTTTCAAAGTGTGTGTGTGTGTGTGTGTGTATGCTATTCCATATATTAATGTACAGAAGGTGAAAGATTCTCACTCCTCACTTTCCTCATCTGTCATGTGCCATAAGGAACTTTTCTATAGATCGGAGTTTTCACAGAATCCTCAGAAGAATGAGCTAAGTTTCATATCCACTCTCTGTCATTAACTAAATAGAGAATCTAAACGTCAGGAAAATAGAGGTTTTCTATGAGAGTGAATAAACTTGAATGAATACAGACAGCAAACAAATTTCCTGAAATGGCAGAAGTTAGGGAAATCTTAAATTAGTAAATTTTTCGACATTCTGAATGAATGCTGAACGATACTTGGAATATAATTATTGTCTACGTTAGGAAGACTCCAGGAAATTTTTCACACTAAGTTAACAAGAGAAAAAAAATCTAGTGATGCAATTTAAGCAGGAAGACCCCACAATTTTTCCAAGTTGCAGTAATTACACAATTTGTTTTTCTTCTTTTTTGGATAATAGGATAAATATTTCATCAAACACATATGAAGCCCTTATTCTGTGTCAGACCCCGGAGATTCACAAATGAAAAGTGGCCGCTATCCTCAAGTCATCTCCATTTTGGTGAGGAAAGAATGTAAAAAGATTCTCTCCCTCATGTTTAACAAGGAAGAGCAGAGTTGGGCAAAGTGAGTGCTTAGAGCCAAGAGGGACGAGGAATATGAAAGGTGCAATCTCTGTAAAACTTAAGATCAGTGTGAAGATACAAGCTCTTTTTAAGAGATGGTCCCAATCCTCCCCTCACCTCCTGCAAAAGCTAGGATGTGTATAACCAGGTATTATGGGTATTATGGCAAGGATGTGTATAACCAGGTATTATGGCAGAGAACACTTCGCTTATTCAAAGTAGGCCAGATCGATTGGGGAGCATCTGCCAATGGTTCTCCATTTCTCTCACAGGATAAAAGCCAAAGTCCCTGCAGTGGCTTACAAGGTCCTTTAGAATCTGGCATCAGTTACACTCTGACCTAAACTCCTCCTAGCTCCATTCACTCTGTGCCAGCCACCCTGGCTTCCTGCTGCCAAGTCTCCCATGGACACTCCTGGGTTAGGGCCTGTGCCATCTGCTCCTCCCTGGAAGTCTCTTGCCCCAGATTATCTAAGAGGCTCCCTCCCTCACCTGCCACAAGGCTTTGGTCAAGTACCTTTGCCATGAGCCCAGACATTTTTCAATTGCAGCAACTCTCCGTGTCCCACTCCAGAACCTCCTATGCTGTTCCATTCACGTTTTAACCTACTATATCATCTGTAATCTCTTAAAGTGATTCAACTTACTATCATAATTTAAATTATGATTGTTTATATGTGCCTCATTTCCTTAGATTGTAAACTACACGAAGATAGCAGTTTCTGTTGAGTTTATTTGTTGGTGTACCCCAGCGCTTAGTGCAATGTCAAGCACATGATAGGACTTAGTAAATGTGTTTAATGAATGAATGCTGTAAAACCTTTTCTTCTGCAATCTGATGTTGGTTGGCAAGGAACTCATGCTCCTGCTAGGCATATGACCAATGCCACCAGGTGTTGCTGATGTTGTTTAATCACAATGCATTTAAAAGTGTAGGTCATGCAATAACCAGAGGTGCAGGACCAATGCCAAAACCTTATCATACTGCTATGGGAAATGTGCAGTGATAACTAACATGTACTTGTTACAACAGTCAGTGAGCACAAAAGTACATTTATCATGTTTACTACAAGTATTTTTTCTCACTGCATTAATTTATAACTGATAGGAAAGAACAGTCAGATGGAATACACAATATAATTCATACATACATTCAGCAGATTTTTGAATACCAAGTAGGCATCAAACCTTGTTTTGGCATAAGGAAGAGAAAGGTGAGTAATACTTATAAAGATCATGTTATCATGGTATTTACATTCTAGTGGGTTCTATGTTCTCTTTTGCTCTTGATATTGTGAAAGACATTGTCGTGCCAATTTTCAAGGACAGGTTCTGAGATCATGCATTCAGAAAACCATATAAAAGACAATGATAGTAAAAACCTCAACGGGTGTGAGTAATAAGCAAGATGGTGTTTAGTAAAAATTAAACAATGTTGTGAGCTGCTCAGGATTTCCTTCCATACCTGCTATTCACATCAGTCCCGATCTCAGAACAGGACTTAGTCTATAAGACAAAGGAAAGTAGAGACACCTGCTGGAGTGACAGGGTGAGGAAGCAGGAAGGAGACTGTGACAAAGACTGGCATTTCTTCTAAGGTCACGCAGAGAAAACCATCAGAATTGTGAATAGACAAGAAAGTTATGCCTGCTAATCAAGTGCTTTAATAATTGGATATTCCTAGTCCTTTTATTATGAAATATAAAAGGGTAATAAAGAACAATTTAATATTTGGAGTATTTAATTCAAAATTATTAAGTGTTAATTGAAAATCCATTATTTTTAGCTACTAATGATTAAAGCAATTATAGGAGAGTTCAGTCTCCATTACAACATATTTTTGGGGTGAAATATCCTAAAAAGGCATTCTCCTTTTTCAAGAAATTAAGCCTCCTATATAAATTTGAAAACAAATAATCAGGCTTCAAGAATTGCTATCATTTTGGATAGACTGGATTTATTTATTTTCCAGGAGATGTAACAATTAGATAGATCTATGAGGAATGGAGGATGAGGCCCCCGAGGTCACGGTGGACGTGTTTTCTCAGTTTGCCCATGCTGTGCTAAAAAGCTGTTGTCTAAGGCAAAAGCAGCGAAAGAAAATGCATTTAAAAGGCGGGGAGGGGGGTGCTTCTGTGAATTTATGAGAAGTGCATCACAAAGACAAATATTTCAGCCATGCAATTCCATTCGGCCTTTTCAGCTGTGTGTCCATAGCAAGTCAACGGCTAAATTGAAAAATCAATTCCAATTTAAATTATTGGAATAAAGAACACCAGGAGTCAGAGATAAAATGGCTTTGTTCTCTGAGATCCTTTTTAATTGGAAAGTTATTTCTTCAGGGTATTCTAATGGTTCTGAGGGAAGATTGCAAAATAAAGTTGATCGGCTGGGGGAAGGTTAATAGCTAATGTGCTTTCCTTGCTGCACAGCAGTCTCCTGTCTTTATGACATCCCCCATCATATCTGGAAGGACTGAAGATTCTAAATCATTTGATACATGCAAGGACTGTATTTTTCCTTAGTCTTTCAGAAATCATCCTGAGGCTGAAACCTTGGCTGAGCGTTGTTGCTCTTGCAGCCTTTCCAACTGGACTCACTTTTGCTTACAAATATCACATGACCCTTTTCTTTCTTTCTTTCTTTCTTTTCTTCTTCTTTTTTAAAGAAAATTCTTAGGGGAATGTTCACCTACCGATTAAGCAGTAATTAATGAAAATGAAAGACACCTGAAGAGGATGCTAGTAAGCGCTGTGCTCCTTAATGATGGAAAAGAAAGAAAGACAAATGCTGGCTTGTACTAAACAGAGAAAAAAAGATACTAGTAGTTACAGACTTAGTAGAAGGTGAACAAAGGTACAAAGGTAGCAGAGAGGAAAAACATGGTCTATATAGAAAATATTAATAAATATTGTTATCAAAAGGTTAATACTACGATAAGAAACCAAGTCATGTTGAGACAGCTTCAACCCAAAGTTTAAAAAATGAAGCTTAATTAAACATATAATAACCTTTGGTCTGCCAGTAGAAAATTGTTTGGGGCAGCTGTAGATTAGAAACCCTAAATGAGCATTTAATTTGAAATTAATAAAACAGCTATGGTATGTGTTAGAAAAAGTTACTGAGGTTTGTTTAGTATATTTAATACTGTAAAAGAGATAAATCTTGTTGCCATGTAATGAACTCAGAAGTGCAGATACAGTAAATATGTACTTACGTTCTTGTTATTAATGCATTAAATTTGTAGGAATATTCAAGAATTTAATTAGCATTTAATAAGATAGCTATAGCAAATTACAGTAGTTGGACATTAAATGTAAATTAATATTTTTAGTATTTAATTGATGTTAACTAATTAATTACTATTTATTACATGGTAGCTAGATTTATCTTTTATGGAGTTATTAAATCTCAATTAAAATGCTCTTTTAAGAGGGCACATTCAATTAAAAATAATATTCTGTAAGAATTTCAAAACTCCTTTCTCCCAGGATTTGGGGTATGTAAGTGCACAAATTAAATAAGCAGGACAGGACAGAAGGTAAACAGAAAGGAACCCAATTGGGCCTATGCCTGGGTGTCTCAAACAATTCTAGACACACCCCAAGAAAGAAGGGCTTATTTATGGAAAGTCATGTTTTTTTCTGCTGAAGTTATAAACTGTATAGGCCTTGGAAAGACTCTCACTCAAAATATCTCTCCACAGTTAATGCTAAGACTTTGAGGGTTTATTTCTCTGAGGAAAGCAACTATGGGCTACTAAAATAAAAATGCTACTTATTATTAGTCATTTCTTCCTAGATGTGACTTGGTGTGACTTAATAGTCTCTTAATGAAAGAAAATAAAACATATAACTTGAGACTTTATTTTTCCATCAGAGTCTGTGTTCCTCCTGTCAATTCTTGAATGTATTATGTGCTCAATAAATATAATAGAAATGGAATGGATTGAATCTCCCGCATCTGGTACCAAATAATTCCTGCAGCTACTTTATACTTACTGTGAAATTGAATCTGAGACAGTATAGGGTAACGGTTAGTTATCCCTACATTGAGTAGGCCTGCCTTGTTTTAAATTATGCATCTACATTGTTCAAGGTGTGAGACATCTTTAAGAAGTCATATTACTATTAATATGTATTACTATATTGTGCCTCAGTGTTCTCCGCAATTGCAGATGATAGTGCCCAACTCTTAGGATTGTCATGAGGACTAAAGGAGTTAATAAATGTAAGGCACTTTAGAACAATATCTACCACATAATAAAAGCTCAGTGCATGCTTGCTGTTAGTATGATTTCTAATCTTAAAGAAATGTTCTTCACAATTTGGAGCTGGAGAAGATACATTATGTTCTAGCACACTAAAAACAATTGAAAAACAAATTAGCTTATTTTTATCTAGCTTCATCCTTTTAAATAATTAATCACAATCATTGTAAACATTTATTGTTCCCCACAAGTCATTCTTGGCAAAGCTATAAATACTATGTGATTTTAATCTTTTTCTCATGAATCGATCTTTGAAGATTCTTTGTCATTTTTCTTACTACAGTTTTGAAGCATAATGACCATATTAAATAAAACCTATCTTACATTGATTCTTGCATTACCCTACTAGGTATCTAACACCTCAGCTCAATAAATAGCCATTTATCATTATTTTTTTAGTCAGTCTTGGGTCTTGTGACATTCTTACCTAGGCTAAGAAAAATTAATTTTCACTTAATATTGCCTGAAATCATTTTTAGAACTCAAGCAAGCATTCCAGTCTTTATACTTCTAACTCATTGTTTACCTACTATCTGTGAAATTTATTTGTAAAATTTGACTCAAAGATTCCTTTGTTAATATAATACCTAAAATACATGTATTATGTATGATAATATATATTTTATATATATATATTATTTCTGTTGTTAATTTTCTGTTTTAATTTTCTGTTGTTAATTTTCTGAAGCATTGAGTTTAAAGTCAGGAGAAACAGATTCTCATACCAGCCACTTAGATATACCATTTATTTGCCTTAGCTTTCTTTTACTCTTCTGTAGAAGAAAGGCTTTAAAGAGAATAATCTTTTTTTAAAAAAAAAAAACTTTTCAAATACAGCATGCTATTAAATTGTACTCAACGAAACAACAAAATTTTTCCTTATTACTTGTGTATGGTTTAGCATTTTTATTTTGCTTGGCACTTTTAAAATGTTGGAGTTTTTCTTTTTTGTCCCTCTGAAATGAACAAGTAAAAGAAACAAACTTTTTAATATAAACCATTAAACCAAAAAAAAAAAAAAATTAAGTGGATGATGCTAACTTCTTCTGTTCCATGAGTAATAGCAATGTGAATATTAATAGACTTATGATTAAAAGAATAAAAAGTAGTAAAATAATAGATGGAAAAGACAAGTCCATAGAGGTGTGGTCTCTTATTTCTTTGATTCCTCATCAGTCTCTGCTGATTCAAACTTGGTCTTTAGATGTGTAAGACTAAGCTCTTTGGCAGTAAAGAACTAAAGGAGAAAAGACAGAGCATTTGACATATGTGCAGGAAAAATATTATTTACTCAGGAGTAAAAAGAATAAAGATGCAAAAGGGAAAAAAGAAACATTTGATCAGAGAAGTTACTAAGGAAAAAAAAGAGAGAGAAATGGATATGGGCTATAAGAATATTTTGAATGATGGAACCTGGGTTTGAAATTGACTGAAAGACACAAGGGAAAAAATTGAATTTTATCACTGATATTTCGAATGGATCCAATAAGAGTTTGACAAAGAGAAGAAAATTAGAACCCAAAACAATGAGCAAATCACTTTGAGAATCACCTGAAACAATCTGCAAGGAGAAGAGTTCAGTAAAAAAGAAGAAACTGAAGTCACCTGTAAAGACCAAAATGTCTGAAAGGGGACACAACTTAGTGTCTAACTTAGCATGGCTTCTTTGACAATATGGTCTATTTCCACAGGACAGAAGGTAAACAGATGCTCCAGTCTCTGCTTCAGCTAACAGAATAAATCCTCTATCACGTTTGTGGATGTAATCCTCAAATCTGTTCTCATTCTGTGCTTGCTTTTGGTAGGTACTTGTTCACCTCCTTCTCTCCTTGTTCTGCCTTTTAGGTTTCAATGCATGACATTGCTGTAACTGTTTCAACCTCAAATTTCCCCAATCTTATAGTGCTTCACCTCACCTCTGGTGGTTTGGTGCCGCTCAAATGATCTTCTCCTCCATTTTATCCAACTTTTGGACATGTCTCATGCTAGCATATCTAAGAGGGGATATAAAACACTCTGTTGTTGTTTTTTTTTTTTAATGCCTTGATTTGCCAGCTGTATTAGTTTGTTTTCACACTACTATAAAGAACTACCTGAGACTGGGTAATTTATGAAGAAAAGAGGTTTAGTTAACTCACAGTTCTGCAGGCTTAAGAGGAAGCATGACTGGGAGGCCTTGGGAAACTTACAATCATGGCAGAAGGTGAAGGGGAAGCAAGGACTTTCTTTACATGGTGGCATGAGAGAGAGAGCCGGGAAATCCATGGTATTATTCAGTCAATGCCTACCACACAGTAACATGCAATATTATATTCATCACTGGAGATTAAGCCTTGAGTGGGCTATTGGAGATGTATTTCAGTAGGACCCTGCAAATACTGCCCTTTCAAATATACTTAAAAACAACCACCAGCTTGTAGCTCTGCCAGTGCTGTTTGCCTGTCACAGGTTCATGCCTCTTATCAATTCTGTATGACTAGCATGCAACATTTATTATTGGTGCCAAATTCACACGTGGTGCACACGCAGTCTCCTCTAGGCCCCATTCTAAGAACACTGGCATGAGTCTGGTTGAGGTAAAATCAGTCATTTAGGTCAGCAAAGATCGTGGGTTTGTTGTATAAATGTCTTAATGTATATATGCAGTATTCACAAAAACAATACCATTTTTTTTTCAATTTGTATTTGAATGGGGTTCCTACTTACTTACTCACTGTTGTTTCGAGACTGCAACAAGAGGATCAAGGAATTCAAAAGAGACAGAATTAGCCAGTGTAATGTGCAGTTGAAGATTACAATTTGGAAGAATACACATCAGTTGGCTGTAGCAGTGGCAGAGTATACCACAAAACTATGAGAAAAAAAGACCATGACACATGGATAAAATAATGGAGCTGCATCTCTGAGACTGAGTTTGCTGTGAGGTTTTATAATAGGCATATGATATGTGACTGCTGGAACAGATCTCTGTATCTGATGATGGACCAATTCAGAGAACCAGGGAAGTCCAGAAATAAATTTTGGGCTATGAAAACTGTGCACTTCATACATAATATCTTTCTAAGCATTTGGAGACACTGAAGAAGAAGTTTATCATACCTTAACTTTAATACCCATGACAGTCTCAATAGATCATTCTATACAGGACGACAATATGGAAAACTAAGAGACTAGCAGGAAGCAGAAAATGAGAAATCAGGTAAGGAAACTTTAACTTAGAACCAAATTAGGTCTTAAGTATCTATTTACCTAATTTAAGAAAAGAGTACATTTTTATCAAATTCACTCACTTTCTGGTTATGCAGTCTGTCACTGTGCAAAGGCACTGGACAACAGAGTGTAGGGGATGAAGTTCGGATATATTTCCTCACCAAGACTTGAGGCCCAGCCCGGAAGAATACATAAAGCATAGTGAAGTGTAGTAGTGGTGTTTCCTTGGGTGTTCCCTCATATTCTGAATCCTAATGACCACTGATTATAGAATGCATAATTGAGCTGAAAACAGGTTGGACAGAGGAAGAAAATAAATATTACTATACTAAATATGTGTGTTAATTGTGAAAAAGAAAAGGTGTTTCTTTGAATTCGAGAAGTACAGAGTTATGTCAAATGGATGTCAAAAGATTTATTGGGAAGCCCTAGACAGGCACAGAACTAGGATTGGAGAGATGGTCTTTCCTCTGCCTTTTAAAGAAGTTCTACAGAATATTCCAATGCACATCAAACTTCAAAATCATTGAATTACAAGAAAATTGCTGTATAAATAATAGAAAAAACACAGAAAAGCAACGTTTACTTTTGTATTTTTGTTTATAAGAAAATATGCTTCCAACCCAACATTTGTGGACCACCATGCATCTCGGCAGAATGATCAATTTTGTCTGCAAACCAAATCTTCAGTCTCTAAGTCAATGAATATGTATAAAGTGTTTGCTTCAATTTTGAAATACTGGCTAACACGAAGCCTCATATTGACTGTAACTGGAATAGTTATATAATTTTAAAATGCCTTTCTCAAATTATAAACATCTTTAGTTGTAATTAGTTACAATCATTTATATATTAAAATCTGCTAAGGCATTTCACCTTTTAATCCTCTTTTAAAAAAATGTAATGGTAAATCTTTCTTTAATATTCTTTTTAGGTTTATTTCTACACTTGACACTAATGTGTAATTTTCCCATTAATATATGTGGAAATAAAATTTCTGTGCATTCACTGATAGGAGAATAAAACTCTTCATATTATATTTTCATATATAGTATTGAGCCTTCTAAGGATATATTTGATCATGGCAGAAAGGTAGCCTGATATGTAACGTTTTGATTGATAAGACATTGTGATTCATAATTGATATCATCTTAGATCTACCAGTGCAACAAAAGATCACTTTGAAATTTGATGGGGCTAGAGCATGAAATAAGTTGGAAATAATATTATATCATGTGAAAAAGGAATATACTGACACAAATCTACTAATTCATATTAAATTAAAAATATCTTGGAAAGCATAGTCATTAACACCTAGTTCTCAGAACTTGACATTCCACACAAATGTCACTCCGCAGGGTATTACACAGGAATTAGAGTGTCCTTTCACTGTCAGACTGATAGATAATTCTGAAGAAGTAAAAGAGAAGAAATCTGATTCTTGGTAACATTTAAGATTCAAGTAGAAATTTATCACATTTATTTGTGTTTCTGACTTAGGAAAAATAATTACAAATCTTACTCCCTTTTATGTATCTGTAAGATATTATGTCTTCATAAATATTTCTTTGCATTAAAATATCCAGATATAGGAGGATAGACAAAAATGTTTTTTTTAGCACTCTCAGGGGGATGGGGATAGGGGTTAGGTTAAAGTGATGTATTTATTCTATTTGATCATAGAATTTCACCCTCTAAGAGAAAGCAGTTTCCCCATGAGTAACACCTATATTATTCTAATAAGCCATCCATCTTTTTTCAATCTAAGACTACCTCTAATTGTGTATAGAGAGAAAGAGCATCACTCACCAGACACCCCCAATCATCACTTCAAAAATTAACATATAGAAAGAAAACTGGTTCTATTTCAATTAGGCATTAATACCTAAATTTCTTATTATTATGATCAGTGTTTATCATTCTCAATAATACTTTTTCTTGCACATTCATACTATTAGTGAAAAACTTGACTACACAGAAACAAAGCAAAACAAAACCTCCTGTCTCTGAAACAAACACACAGATAGGGAAGCTGTTGTTCTAAGACTTTATCCCCACTGAATCCACTGAACCTCAACACACGTTCACACTAGTTGTTGCCAAAACAAAGGCCTCATGTCAGAATGAACTCATAATCCTTCATCCCATAATATTTTGTGCATCTGTTGCCTTGACCCAACCCTTCCATACTTACCCTCCTCTCACACTTTCCTGTTGTATCCCCTGAAGTCTTGATTTGTGGCCTTCAGGCTTTTCTGCATTTTAATACACTCTCTGAACACTACCATGTCTTTAGTGAGAATAAGCCTTGCTTCCTTGTAGCCTTCTTAAATGGGAACTTTCTCCTTTGCGTTTAGTCTCAAAGCAATATTGGTGTCATCTCTTCTATTTGTTGTCCCAGGCCATGAAGTCTTCTTTATTTTAATGAAAATTTGAGCTCCACTCTATCAGGCTTTTTCAGTTTCCACCTCCTCGCTGCTGTCATCTAGGGAATATGTAACTTACATCTTGCTCATTGAAGATAATGGTGATTTTCTCTCCATCACAGTTCTTGTCATCATTATGAAGGGCTTCCAAGGCCATGGTAAACACACATGGTTGAACCAATCTCTAAGTTCCCTGCCCTTATTCTCTCTAGGCACCTTCAGTTTCGTTTAACTTATTTACTCCTAAGGTCAATGCTGGATTCAGTCACTGTTATGATTCTTTAATATGGTCTATATTCTTTTTAAACAACCAGTTCCTATCCTTTTCCCCAATGAATCTCTTTGTAAGCTAAGAAACCTTCAGATGGCAACTTACTCATTTTCCTTCCAATAATCTACAATAATCCACCTGCAGTTGCACTGGGTTTCTGGGCTTTCCTTATTTTTTACCCCTTCTGTAATTCCTTATTTTTTACCCCGAATGTAATAACTATCCCTCTGTCTAATAAAGTCAAGATCATTCATATTTGTTCTGGATTCCTGAACCTGCCATCTCTTTGAGGTACTTTATTCATCTTATCCTTTCACATTTCTGTATTTTTAACATCTCCTTTTTATGAATTACTCCTACCAGCCCCTATATATTGTTTTGCATATCCCACATAAAGCTGTTGCTACAGCTCTACCTCTTCTATAAAATTCAACCAGTTCTTATCTATATAGTCCATCTTCTCTTCCTCATCTCTCATTCCTTCTTCAACAGACTCTTATTTTTATTTGATTTCTAACATATCACTATAACCTCCTGTGGCCAAAGTCCCTATAGACAATTTTATGCCATTTATTTGTTTGTTTATTTATTTATTTTGAGACAGAGTCTCACTATGTCACCCAGGCTGGAATGCAGTGGCACAACCTCGGTTCACCACAACCTCTGCCCCATTGCTCAAGCAATTCTTGTGCTTCAGCCTCCCGAGTAGCTGGGACTACAGGTGCATGCCACCATGCCCTGCAAATTTTTGTATTTTTAGTAGAGAGAGAGTTTCACCATGTTGGCCAGGCTGGTTTGGAACTCCTGGCCTCAAGATCTGCCAGCCTCGTCATCCCTAAATGCTGGGATTAGTGATATGAGCCACCACACCTGGCAATGCTAAAATCTTTAGACAATATTTTTAATATCTTATTTGACCTGACCATTCAGCAACATTCTATATAATTAACATTCCATTTTTCTTGAAAATACTATTGACTCCCATGGCGCATTCAGGTAGTTTCTTTCTAATTCACTACTTGCCCTACCTTTACCAGTCTCTTTTATTATTTATTTTTATCTATGCATTGTCTTAGTATTACTATTATTTCAACAACCTCCTAGGTGAACTCATTGCTCCCCACATTTGAATATTAACTATAGACCAATAATTCCTAATATGTTATTCCCAGACAAAACTTCCCTTTTTAACTTTGAACTCAAATATATTGTCAACTGACTACTTGGCACCTTTTTACTTTCTCATGCATCTCAATTTATCATAGATAAAAATAAATTCTTGCTTTTTCCTTCGAAATTAGCTACTCCTCCATATATTTTTATAGTCTCAGAAAATAGCATTGTCATGTCTTATGGCATATAAAAAACCATGAGCTGTAATCCCAGCACTTTGGGAGGCCAAGGCAGGGGGATCACGAGGTCAGCAGTTCGAGACCAGCCTGACCAACATGGTGAAACCCTGTCTCTACCAAAAATACAAAAATTAACCAGTCATGGTGGCGCATGCTTGTAATCCCAGCTACTCAGGAGGCTGAGGGAGGAGAATTGCTTGAACCCGGGAGGTGGAGGTTGCAGTGGGCCGAGATCGTGCCACTGCACTCCAACCTGGGGGACACAGTGAGATTCTGTCTCAAAAAAAAAAAAAAAGAGACAACTGAGACAATATTCATTCTTCCCAGTTCAACTTACCAAGCCCTAGAACTTTACTTTCAATATACAGTGCGTCATTCACTTTCTTTTATCCCCTTTACTATCACTTTTAGCCAATCTGAAATTATTTATTTCTTAATTATCTTAAGAGCCTTTCAACTTTTATCCATATGTCTCTCTTGCTTCTTCTAATCCATGCATCTATTCTAATTAAACATAAGGTTATATCTATGTATACACACACCACATTATTTATACATGTAGAAAAGTAAAAATATAATTGCACCAATTTATGAATTTTCACACACTAAACATGGTCGTGTAATGAGCAATGATATCAAAAAGCAGATTATTACCAGTGCTTGGGAAGCACCATTTGCTCTAACTTTTAGTCACTACCATTCTTTCTGGCTTTTAACAACAGTTAATAGCTGTTAGTTAATAGTTCTGTCTTATATATTACCATATTTTATATATCTCAAAAATGTAGTTTCAACACCAAAGGCTTTTGATTTCTGAAGTATAAAACAAGGATATAACTTCCAGATTCTCTCTAGAGTCACACATAATCACCTAACGAATTAGCCGTGTAACCCAGTAAGAGTGAAAAAGAAACAGAATTAAATCAAGAAAATATTTCAATATTTGAAAACCTTTCTTGGAATTGAGACTATACTTTAAGTCTCTTAGAACTTTATTTGCTTCTTGTTTTGTCATTTATTTATGTTAAAATCTTAAAGCAGAAAGTAAAAGTGAGTTTATTTCAGACTTACTATGGCATTAATATCAGTATCATTTTAACTTTATCTTACAAAAATGTTTCAGGTTTCTTTTTTAACTACAGTGACAATTAACAAAAAGCTATATATAAAATAGTTCTAAAAAGGACAATTTGAATAAAAGGCACTATCGAAACATTTCTGGGTCAGTGATAAGAGCAAAAATGTGGGCAAAGCCTACATAGAAAACTGATATGGGCCACTATACATTTCCTGTTCATTTCCTTACATCCTTATGCATTTATAGCTATTACTTAAAGTCTGTCTTCTATTACAATGGCTGAACACACACTCTAGTGTGGGATCAACTCAATCTATGCTTAAAACCTAAAGTATAGTATATTAGTTCATTCTCACACTGCCATAAGGACATACCTGAGACTGAGTAATTTATAAAGAAAAAGAGGTTTAATGAACTCACAGTTTCACATGGCTGGAGAGGCCTCACAATCATGGCAAAAGGCAAAGGAGCAGCAAAGGTACATCTTACATGGTGGCAGGCAAGAGAGTGTGTACAGGGGAACTGCCCTTTGTAAAACCATCAGATCTCATGAGACTTATTCACTATCATGAGAACAGCATGGGAAAAGCCTGCTCTCATGACTCAATTACCTCCCACTGGGTGTCTCCCATGACACATGGGGATTATGGAAGATACAATTCAAGATGTGATTTGGGTGGGGAAACAGCCAAACCATATCATATAGTATAAATATCTATTTACATAATTCGGGGGCCAATGAGAGATTTTAATTTATACCAAACTCATTCATTTTATGGTAAAATCACTTTATTAAGCCTTCACTAAAGAAATGGTTTTGCACTTTGGCACAGCAAGAGGGCACTGGACAAAAAGGAGTATCAGAGATGAAATCCAGCTAGCACATCATTCACCAACTCAAACTCTAGGCTAAAATGTACTTACAAATTTGTCTGCCAAAAGGAGCAGCTGAAAAATTAAATGAAACAGGCAGTTTCAGTTGCTGCCTACTACAATGAAAAGAGTGTGGATAATGGGTTCGCATCAGTTAAGTGCCTGTTGCTACAAAAGTCAAAACATCATATAGAAAAATTAAAGAAACCAAATTCTCTACAGTATATTATTTCTAGTGTCCAAAATATATTTTTAAAGATTTAAATAAATGGGAAAATGTGATCCAAAGACAAAAAACAAAATGCAGTAAAGAGGAAATAACTCTGAGATTACTCAGATATTGGATTTTGTAGATAAAGATGTTAAATTATTATTAACAATATATCAAAACATAAAGGAAAATTTGACATAATAAATGAATGCACAGAAACCTAGTATAACATTGGAAATACTACCAATAAACAAAATAGGAATTCTGAACAAAAAGATGTCTGAAATGAAACATTAATTAATGGGTTTAACATAATAAAGAAAATGGGAACGGAAGGGCCAATGATTTAAAAGATAAAAGTCTTAGTTCAGGTTGCTATAACAATGTACCATCCAATGGGTAGCTGATAATCAATGGAAATGTATATTTCACTGTTCTGGAAAGTGAAAGCCAGGGAACCAGCGTGGTCTCATGGTTGGGTGAGAGCTCTTTTTCAGCTTGAAGACTGCTGAACTCTTATATCTTCACATGGTGGAAAAAGTGAGAGAGGATTCTTTCATAAGGGCACTAATCCCATAAGGAGGACTCCACCCTTATGACCTAATGACACACAAAAGCCTGACCTTTAATACCATCTCATTGGGGATTAAGATTTCAACATAAGCCCAGGTGTGGTGGCTCATACCTGTAATCACAGCACCTTTGAGAGGCTGAGGCAAGAAGATCACTTGAGGCCAGGAGTTTGAGACCAACCCAGTCAACATAGTGATACCCTGTCCCTACAAAATATATTTTTTTAATTAACTGGATGTGGTGGTGTGCACAGTAGTCCTAGATACTCAAGAGCCTGAGGTGGGATGATCACTTAAGCCCAAGAGTTCAAAGTTACAGTAAATTATGATTGTATCACTCACTCCAGCCTGGTGACAGAGAGATACTCTGTCTCTATTAAAAAAATGTCAACATACAAATTTTGGGGAAACATAAACACTCAGTTCATAACAATACAGTAATGGAAATCATCTAATCTGAAATACATAGAGGAAAGGTGTTTAGAAAAAAATGAACAGGGCTTCATGAGGGCAACATCAAGCAGCTTATAGTAGGTATGGAATCAAAATCACAGGAGAACAAGAGAGAGAAATGAGAATAAAAAAGATTGAAAAAATATAGCCAAAAGTACCTAAAATTTATTAAATTTTAAATTAATGGAGTCCAGTGAATACCAAGCAGAGTAAGTATAAAGAGAACTATAACTAGCATATCCTACTAAAATTTATTGATATTTTTATTTTCATAGTTGGGGGAACAGGTGGTGCTTGGTTGCATGCAAAATTCCTTGAAACCAATGATAACCAGGAATTCTTTAAAGCAGTGATTGATAAAAATAAGATATTATATAATGAGGAAAAACATATGCTGATAGCTGATATGGTAAATTAAGTAAATAGAGTTGGTTTTCAAACATTTTCATAAAGAAATCTCCAGGAGTAAATGGTTGCATTTGTGAATTATAACAAATATTTGAGGAGAAATACCAATATGTATAAATATATATATGTATTTATACAAAGCAAAAATCCTTAACAAAATATGAAATTTAATCCAGAAAAATAAAAAAGGATAATACTTGATGTCAAGTGGTCCAACAATGCAATATTGCATTCACCTTTGAAAGTAAATCACATAAATCGTCCCATTAATAAATCAGAAAACCCATATGATTATTTTAACAGATATGGAAAAAGCATTTTGATTAAATATGTTTGTGATATAAACTCAGCAATTTAAGATTATAAAGAAACTTCATAAATCTGATAAAGTTCGTCTACATATTCTGGGGTAAATGTCATGCTTAATTATGCAATGTTGCATGTTTTTCCCCAAAACTACTTAAAAAATTCATAATTTTTACTCTGAACTTTCATTTCAACACTGTAATGAAGGATTTAGCCATTGCAATAGGTCAGGAGATAAAAAGCATAAAGTTTAGAAAATATGTCAAACTTTCTAACTGGAATAACCTGAGTTCTTACCTAGAAAATCCTAGGAAATCTGTAAAAGAATTGTTAATAAAATAAGCAAATTTAGCAAAGTTTTAATACTCAAGGTAGCAAAATCCAGTTGTATTCCTATATAGTACCATCAAAATATTCAAAAAAGCACAATTTTTTAAAAGTTTATTTACATTTGTATTCAAAAACGTGAAAAAATTAGAAACAAATTTAACAAAAGATATGCAAGTAATTAAAACTACAATACTTTGCTGCAAGTAATTAAAGTAAAACTAAATATATGTAAATATATACTCAGTTTATGAATTAAAAGGCTTTATGTTAAAAAATCAGTTCTCCACAGACTGATATATTGATTTCATTTTATCTCAATCACAATCAGACCAGACATTTTTGGAGAAATTGACCGGCTGATTCTAAAAATTATATGGAATTTAAAAAGTACACAATAAAGCAATGTTTAATGAAAGAATAAAGTTGAAATGTTATACTACCTGTTTTGTTAGGATGCTATAGTAATCAAGACAATATAATGTGGGAATTAAAATTAATGAGCAGGGCATTGAAATGATATTGACAGACCAAAAGTAGATTCATATTTGATTACTGACAAAAAAACCAAGGTCATCCCAAAGGGCAAGAAAAGTTTTTTCCGAAAGTGGGCCTGGAAAAATTGGAATATAGAGAAGGAGAAGGAGGAGAAAGAAAAGGAGGAGGAGGAAAAACCTTGATTCTTATTTCACACAGGACATAAACATTGATTTGAGATGGATTCGAGGCCTAACTTTGAAAGGAAAACAATAAAAGGCTTAAAGAAAATGTAAGAAAAAGAATTTTACTTTCTTGGGGCACTCTAATAATTTTTAGAAAAGAAACAGAACACAATGATCATTACTGAAAATTAAAAATTCAGCTTTATCCAAACTAAAGGCTTCTACCCACAATAGTTAAAAAGTGGAAGCAACCCAAGTGTCCATCAGCAGATTTTGTTCACAAACAAAATATGATATATACACACAATAGAATATTACTCAGCCATAAAAATGTGGTGCTGATACATGCTACTGGATGAAACTTGAAAACACTTTGCTAAGTGAAAGAATTCAGAGACAAAAGGGCAACTATTTTGCATGTTACATTTATATTAAGTATCTAGAATAGGTTAAGTCTTTTTTTTTAACCTTTAAATTCAGGGGTACACGTGCAGATTTATTATATGGGTAAACTTGTGTCATGGAGGTTTGTTGTACAGATTATATTGTCACCGAGGTATTAAGCTTAGTATCCATTAGTTATTTTTCCCGATCCTTTCCCTTTTCCCACCCTCCAGCCTTCGATAGGCCCCCGTGTCTGTCGTTCTTCTCTGTGTGCTCATGCGTTCTCATCATTTAGCTTATACTTTTAAGAGAGAACATGCAGTATTTGGTTTTCTGTTGCTGTGTTGGTTTGCTAAGGATAATGGCCTCCAGCTCCATCCACGTTCCTGCGAAGGACACGATCTCGTTCTTTTTCATGCCTGCATAGTTAGAATAGGTAAGTCTTCAGAGATTAAAAAAAAAAAAAAAAAAAAAAAAAAAACAGATGAATGGTCGCCAGTGGCTGAAGAGAAATGGGAATAGGTAATAACTGCTTAATAGGAAAAGGATTTTGTTGTTGTTGTTGTTGTTTTAGGCTATAGGAATTAGATAAAAGTGGTCACCGTGCAACATTCTGAATGTACTGAATGCCACTGGATGCAAACGAATTGTCCATTTTAAATGCGTAATTTTATTATGTAAGTTTCACCCCAGTTTCTTTTTAAATGGAAAAATATTTAAAGCTCTGCACACTAAAACAACATCATTCAGAAAATCAAGACAAAATTCATAGTCTGGGAAAAAAAATTTGCAAGATATGTATCTGACTAAGGATTCCTATTTTGGATATATAAAGAATTTCTATACTTAGAAATAAGAAGATAGACGACCCACTTTTTAAAAAATCTGGCCAAAATAACTGCTTGTGCACTTCACAAAATAAAAAGCACAATAGCTAGTAATTGCATAAAAAGTAGTCAAATGATTAGCCATCAGCGAATTGCAAATTCTAATATCCATGAGTTACCACAACACACCAATCAGAATGGCTAAAATTAAAAGATTGTCAACACTAACATTTGGCAAGAACATAGAGTAATACAAAATTTCATGCTTTACTGACAGGAGTAAAGAGTTACTAACACTATGTAAAATGTCTGGAAGTGCTTTTTTGAAAGGCAAGTATGTATATACCCTATGATCCAACAACTTCACATCTAGGTCTCTAAGAAAAAAGTAATGCAACACACATTAGAAACAAAAGACTTGACCAAGAATGTTAACAGTAACTTTATTCCTAATGCTCCAGAACTAAGAAGAGCCCTGTTGACACTCAAGAGGAGAGTGGATAATCAAATATTTGTATATGCATACAATGGAATATTGTCAATAAAAATCACCAAACTTCTAATACACACAATATCTGGATGAATCTCCAAATGACTGATTATTCCAGTTAAAAGAAAGAAAAATATCTTTGCCTAAAATAATATATACTGTAGAATTTCTCCTATATAAATTTCTAGAAAAGGAACAGCTAATCTACGGTGAAGAAAATTCATATTAGTGGATGCTTCTGTTGAGGTGGAACTAAACATCAACTGGGAAACGGCATGAGGAAACTTTCTGGAATGATGACAAAGATTTCTAGATTTCTAGATTTCAAAATCTAGATATTGAGTTACACAGGTTTATGCATTTGTCAAAACTTTGATCTCAGGAACTCATGTTGCTAGTAAGGATGAAAATTGTCACAACTACTTTAAAATCTGTGCTTTATTCCAATATTGAAGAACTACGCATGCTGAGATGTCCTAATTAATTCCACTCTCAAATATGTAACCAGGATAAATACATCTTACAGGTTCTAGGATACATCTATAAGAATAGTTAAAGAAACAATTTCCAGTTAAAGAAACTGGAAAAAACTTAAATGGCTATCAACAGAGGAATAAATAACTAAATTGAGATACATATACAACAATGTAAAATGATCAGCTAGAGCTATATCCAATAATATTGATGAATCTTACAAACATAATTTCAAAAGGGAAAACAGGAAACAAGAAGTAATTAAATTGTGACTCATATTTTTTTACAGATTCTGAAAATAAGCAAAAATTAAAACATATTATTTATAGATACATTTTAAAATGCAAAAAGCATTTTCTAAAAAAAGCCAAAAAAAATGTAGAAGCCAGCATGTGGGTAGGAGGAGATAGATTAAGACAAAAATAGAGATATGGGCAAGGCTACCAATCAGTAGGTAATGTCTTAATTTTTTACCTTCCTTCATATTTACTTAAATTGTTGTTTATGTATGTGTGTAAAATTTTAATCTATAAATCTTATTTTAAAGTGGAAAACCTTAGTAACATCTCTTATTATACCCTTTTGTTACTTCTACAAATTTGTATTAACTTACTGCTTTATGGAAATTGAATGGGTGCAGGTCAGCATGTTTATTTTAAAGCACAGTAAATTAAAAGCAATAAATAGCTGGCATACACACACACACGCAGTCATTAGAACACACACACATATAAAATCAAATGATTAAAACAATGTCATAGAAACTATTAAAAATAATACTTAAATATATTAAAAAATCAAATAGTCTACTGTTCAGTGGTTTAATCTATGAGCCTTTTGCGAATGAGATGAAAGGTGGTTATAGTTGCTGTTTCTGCAAATTTGTTTTCTCAAGTTATACAGTAATCACCTTGTTCAAAGTTGGCTGATAATTTTTAACATGTCTTTTTTATGTTTCTGTATGGAAGCGCCTTTAATTCAGCTGGGTTACAAAACATATGTGTCAGATAAAGTTTTTTAAAATGATAAATGGAAGAAATCCAATATACATTTGAGTGCTTGGTATTTCTGACTCCAACACCAATGCCAACATTTCAAAGCGGGTGGGCTTGGGAGTCCTCCACTGTTGTTTTCTTCTCACAAAGAGAGGATCTGCAAATATAGTACTTTCATATCTACTAGTTTGGCAACTGGATTCTATTCTTGAACTGATGGCTGTTTGACATTCTATGATGAATGGTATGTGGTCAGCTATTTCAGATTTTTCCGTTACTAGAATTACATTTCTAATGTAAGGATGGGTTATTATTAGCTAAAGCTTTTATTTCCTGGGATTAGGTAAAATGAAAAGGGTTATTTCTGTTGATACACCCCATTTCACATTGCAATGCAACTATTCAACTGTAAAACGTACTTAGATTTCTATTTGAATGGTCAAGGAATGGCTGATTATGTGTTATTGCCCTTTAAAGGGCCAGTGTCACTAATAGTCAAAACAAAGTTATTCATTCAATAATTTCATGGTCTTAAGGGCTATTTAAATTTTCTTTCTGAAAATTTTTGTTCGAAAGTATGGAAAGACTTTAAGACATTTAGAAAATATTAAAACAGAAACACTATATTACCTTTAAATAATGTCAAATGAAGTTTTAGACTCATATCTAAAAATAATGCTTGCTTACAACAATGGCTAGATATATTTTTATTAATCAATTAGCTATCATCTATACTTAGTAATATTTATAACATTTGCTATTATTGGGCTTCACTACCTCATATTATATAGCATGTCGCTTTTCACTGTTTGAGAAAGGATACAGCTCATTTAGGGAACACCTGGAAATTTTTTCACGGGAATAAAAATGTAGCACTGTAGGGCCGGGCGCGGTGGCTCACGCCTGTAATCCCAGCACTTTTGGAGGCCGAGGCAGGCGGATCACGAGGTCAGGAGATCGAGACCATCCTGGCTAACACGGTGAAACCCCGTCTCTACTAAAAATACAAAAAATTAGCCGGGCGCTTTGGCGGGTGCCTGTAGTCCCAGCTACTCCAGAGGCTGAGGCAGGAGAATGGCGTGAACCTGGGAGGCGGAGCTTGCAGTGAGCCGAGGTCGCGCCACTGCACTCTGGCCTGGGCGACAGAGCGAGACTCCATCTCAAAAAAAAAAAAAAAAAGAAAAAAGAAAAAAAAGAAAATGTAGCATGTAGTTTATCAGGCAGGTTTTGTTTTGTTTTGTTTTGTTTTTAATGACAAGAAGAGTTACTCCTCTGTGGGTGAACAGAGTTTTGGTTCTATTGCTGCCATATTTAACACAGATAATTGAACCTGCATAATACCAATATTATTAAAGATTATCATATGCCTACTGTTGTAAATAGTACTTATAAGAAATGAAATGTGCATTTCTGAAAAAATAAGAAATGCTACAATTTCTTGTATTACAATAATATACATATATAGAAATCACTACTAAATCTAGCACTTCTAGAGGAATTAGTTGTATTATTGAATTAAATGATAGCCTTGAAAAACACTTAGACAACAGGTTAAAATATTAAATGTTAAGAGTATTGTCATAGTCGTCTAAGTAGTTACTTTGAAGGTATGCCACGTTCTTATACTTGCAATTCAAGTACTATTTTTTAAAAGTTGGGAAAAGCATATTAATATAGTTAGTAATCTAATATCAAGAAATTATTGAACAATTCTAAATTTTCTAACAATGACAATAAAGAAAATTATTCAATAATAGCTAATATGTATGTATAACAAATATAAAGTAAAGCTCACTTGCTGCATTACTTCTCATATTCAAAATCATTAAAAATTAAATCAGGAAATACACATTGATAATGAAGTTTAATATGATGATAAAATGCTAATTTTTTAACCTCATACAAAGTAAAGTATAGGAGAAAGTGAGAAACCCAAGACTTCATACACATATGTAACATCAGTGATTCTTTTTTAACGCCAACCTGCCCTCTGAAAAGGAGAGTTTGGCATAAACACAGGATGGAGAAGTCTTCTCACAGGAGCAGTAACAATTATTTTTCTAATGTGCCTATCTAGTGCATTATGTTTTTCCTGCTCATGTGTACACCGGAACACATTCTACTTTCATGCAGCTATTTTGCAGATGTGCCCTTTTAGCCCACGTAGAGGAAAAAAATCCCTTTTTAAGGAGTGCTCACACCTCAGTCACCTGAGTCTTTCTAAGTGATGAGGAAACTGCTTTGTTTCCTTTCTCAATTTCTCCATATGAGAATTACCACCTCAGAAATCTGTGGAAGGTTTAGATCTTGGCTAATCCACGGCAGGCCAGTGAGTGCTGGTTTCCTCTTCCGAAAATATTTCTATTTTTTCCCCTCCCTCCTCAACCTTTCCTCTCTCTCTCTATCTTCTTTTTTAGTAAACATTTGTTGGCCCCAAATTTTAAATAATGAGCATTTTCACAATATGAATACTATGTTTCCTGTTTTTTTTTTTAATGATATGCTAATTGGAGACCTCCATGTTACTTTGAATGAGAGGTTACATCTTTAATCCTGATCTTGTTCTTCTAATCTCTTCTTTAATTGAAATTGATCAAAAAAAAAAAAAAACCTACATAGAGGCAGAGGTGGATTGGGAGATGGAATTTCCCCTTTCTTTACATAGTGTTTACTTATTCATAGATTTGGTCAAATGGTCCACCAGTCAATAAGCATATATATACTCTGCTGGTTGAACCCTATTTGATAGCCCTAAGGGCTGATGGAGCTCCCACTTTCCTAAAATAATACTAAGAACAACCATCTCACTTCCCTTAACAATGACATAGAAACAAAGCTGGGTAATTCCTTTCTACGTGCTTTTTCAGAACAAAGGTTAAGGTTTTCAGGAATGAAAAACAATTAGATGGGTGTTGAAGGTTGCGGATGGAGTGATTCTGCTTTTATGTCTGTCTTTTTTTTTCTTACTTTTTAAATGAGAAGTTGTGAATATCCATAAATGGACATAGATTATGTGCTTAATGGGCCTTTTTCTTGCTGACTATACTCCCAGAGACAGTAGACCATTATCTATCACTTTGCCTCGAGTACTATATGAGAGGTTGTTCCCCCTATAATTATTGTCCATAACTTTATGGAATCAAAATAAAACAATCTAATAAATTAATTATTATAAATTAAAACAAAATGCATTGTTTCAAACTATGTTCAATGTTGTTTTAGCTATTTTTATTACATATTATTCTTTTGAGGCTCACACTCTCCTCCTTACAGCTACTTTAGAAATGGAAGAGCAATTTAAATGCAAAATGCCTTTTTTTCAAAGAGGGTGTAAGTCTACAAATGCATCATTGTGCATGTGGATGAACATTTCATAAGAATGGATAATGAGTAATGAGGTGGATCTTTTTCTCCAATAAAATTACTTATGAAATTCTGTGGCAGGCACATTCTTCTATGATTAAATAATTCCCAACAGTTCTCCACCATTTTCTTTTTAAATTTACACTTGGGTTTTACTTGCTAATGTTTTTACTCCAGATTTCATGAAGGTCAATATTCCTCTTATCTCTCCTACAATAATGTAAAATGTTTCTCTTGTCACTTTATATTAGTTACTTCAATAAATAACTAATTTGGAGGGTCATGATGTCCAAATATACTTTCTCTATTTTGAGAGATATATAAACATTGAATTTTAATATCCCTACCACAAAACAAATTTTTCATTTGAGATAACAATATTTTTAAATGCATATACACTATACCTAACACTTTGATATTTATTTATTTATAATTATACTCAAAAAGTTCATGGGGACATTCTTCACTTTTGAGACATAGGCTGAGCATGGGTATAGCAGTGTCCACTAGGGAGAGCTGCCTTACAGCACACCACAGCTATCAGCATTACCACATTTGATAATTCTCCATCACCAGTAACAGTAATGGAGAAAACAACAGTAGCTTTTCCAAAGCAGATGAATTTGATAATAATATCTTCCCAAATCCAATGTAATCGTGTGATTTTATATGTGATTCACAGGTAAATAGAAGTGCATAAATCATCAATTTTACACTTTGCTACCATTTTAATTTGAAATGAACCATGTTGCAAACCATTCTTACTCTCTAATTCATCACTTCTCCTTGGGTGAGTAAAAGTAGTTTTATGATAATATCTCTGATTATAAGAAAAAAAAACAAGTCACTACATGCACTATATTAAACATTGTAAAAAGTTGAGTTAGTTAAGAAAAAAAATATATACAAAGAAGAGATAACTTACCAGGACAAAGCACTGCTTTCAAACGTTAAAAAATCACTCATGGGAAAACAACTACAAAACTGAATAGTTTTAATTATGATGCAAGGTCAATAAACTTCATCACAATTTTTTAAAAGGAGAATATGTATTTAAAAGTTTATAACATTATGTCATCCATATAATTAAGCACTTTTAATCACTGACGTTAAGGAAGAGAGAAAATTTCTACTGGATTTTGTTTTTGTTTTAGGGTCATTTAAAGCACAGCTAATTTCACTTTAAAGGAGGAAGAAATAAGAAATCATTCAGATTGGCTAGCAAAAAAACAAAAAACAAAAAACAAAAAACCTCTACCTAATATGCTTATTTATACCTAGCTGTTAAAACTATAAGTGCTTAAAAAGATACCTTCACTGATTGTATAATATTAAATCTTCTAAACTATAAGTGTTTTAAAAATCACACCTACTCGTGACTTGAAACTACTTTTGCTGAATATATGTATATTATCAACCTCAATTACACATGCCTGTTGATTTGTGTACGTCATTCACTAGTTCTTCTTTCCTTTTTCTTTACTTTTGCTGTATTTTGTTTGCACATCATTTAGCTTTGGTTCTAGACTAACAATTACTCTAGTTTGTAATTGAGTTTAAAGGAATATGTTATTAAATCAGGGAATTCCATAAATATTGGTTAAAAGTTATAAATAGGTTGTCTTTGGTATTTGTCAACATAGAGTTCTTTCAATTAAAATATTTCCTGGCTACCACAGCGTGGAAGCTGCGGAAATTGGCTCCACATCCAGCTGGCTGATTCAGTAAGAAATCAGCTGGCCTCAATTTAGATTTCTTTTCTTTTAAAGCAGTGCCAAATTGAGGATTAGTACATTGTGGAGAGGGAGGCGGGCAGCTCCACCCCTGATCGGCCATTCTTCATTCCCTAGAATGGGCTTGCCCTCCCAGCCCCAGCTGTGCACTGAATTAATCTACACAGGGAGCTTCTCTATCTACACCATTTTCAACATGCTCTTCAAGGTCCTACACCACTTCTGACAAAAGCAAAATGTGGCTCTGGTGACTCTGGACTTGGGCACTTCACTAACGCCTTAAATATAAACATTCACACACACATTAAACACACACACACGTATACAGGGGGTGGGTAGCGGTGTGGAGAGAGGAGAAGAGAGACAGTGCTTAAATTGAAAATTGTGGAGACAGTCAACAGTAAATACTGAATCTTAGAAAAAAATGAATAAGAGAATAACAGACAATAACAGCATTTATTCAGAAAACAGATCCATCTCAGGGAATTGGTGTGATTTTACTTCTCCAGAAATTGTCCTTCTAAACTAAGAGTGTGAGAATAATTTAGTTATCAACTAGAAAAGGGTAAGTGAGAAGGGACACTTACCCTTTTCATGACCTAACGCAAATATTTATTATTACCCTACCAGGGACCTCTTCTTCCGTTCAAATCATCCAGGCTTACGTCTAGCACACCAACATTTTCATGTTCTGCCTTGTACCTTCTCGAAGCTCGTGGGCCAATTATGAACTAATCCTGCTTTTATACCAACAAAGAAGGTCATATATATACAGTTTTATTGTAGGTTATTGTTCCTATAAACTGTGACCTTTTGTAAAGAATGCTCAGCCCTTATTTTAGAAGTATTACTGATGATATTATCTAAGAAAATTGTTCAGGGTTATGACCTCACTCAAACTGTGATCCAGCCAACCATATTTGTTTGAATTTAGTCTTGTTTTTTATAATCATCTATCTGACCATGAAAGGAATTTGCTTGTCTGCATTTTCATAAATATCTGCAAAAGATATTATATTTATCATGAATTGAAATATTTTTAACACTAAAGAGAATACAAAAAGTATTTTAGCAGACAGTAATGTTTTATTTACTTCAGCTAATTTTCCTGATAGCTTGGAGTTTACATTATATAATTTGGATAAGTAGAAAGAAAATACACATCTAAAGGAACTCTTCATCAGCTGTGCTATGAGGCTCTACAGAGATCATATTAGCAGAATTGACATCCTGACAAAAAACTTACCACAGCAAAGATATTAACACTGAGAAATGTGACCAATGTATTTCAGGCCCTGGTCATCTGTGCTTTTGCCTATAAATAGATTTCATACATTTCCTTAATTCATTTTTTCTAACAACCACTGGTTCTTTAGCATGATCTGGGTCCAAGGTCAAAAGCTACTGCTCGCTACCAGTGCAGCTAAGTCACTGAGAGTTATTTTACCTTTCGGGCTTTCCTTGTGATTTTTCACAAGTTTGTAATACTAGTCCATGAAGCTATCAAATCTTCATCTATAAAAATGTATTCTGAAGCAGTTGAAAAAAACCCGAGACTGCTCTTTAAAATATCAGGTTCTGTGTATTGACTTAAAATAAAAATTACACGGAAAAACAAAAAGTGTGATGTTGGTGATATTGTTTAGGTCATATTGTAGGTTTCTGCTTATCATTTCTGGCTGAAATAGAAAACCTATATGAAAGAATTGACTTGTAAATGTAAATGTTAACCCAGTTTATACAAAAAGCATATTTGTGTGCCCTCTCTTCAGAGGTGAATTTTAAAATCCGTATTACTTTTGTGTTTTCAGAGAAAAACTAAAACAATAGCAAGAAAAAGAAAACAGGAAAATAAATGTATCTATGGATCAAAAAGCAATTTAGATTGCAATTGCTTCTGTAGAAATGAAATAGTTTTCGCTGCCAGATTAACAGTAGGAAAAAGTCATTTGGATCCTTGACCACTATTGTGGTATAAGAATGCTATGGGATCCCGTAGGAAAACAAAGGGAAGTGCTTTTCATTTTTGGCCACGGTGCCTGAAAATATACAAGGAATAAGATGGAAAACAGGGTGACATCAATGGTCATAAAAATGTGACCTTCATCTTGATAGAATAAGACAAATAAAAGTTTTCCCTAACACCTGGCATTTAAACATGAAAGGAAGTTGTAAGGACAACATAGCCTCTTACAATGGACCTAAGTGTTTTCAAATATTCATGATATTCATACTTTTGAAACACTAAAAGCATAGTATGCTACCTTAGGAAAAAATAAAAACCCTCAGAAGCTATTCTGAACATGTATTGTTTTTACCACATTGAATTGTGGTAAAAGCATTGAGTATGTTTTGGAGAAGTACCCTTCTTGCATAGGTTTCAGTCAAATCCAAGTGGCTACCCCCACCAGAGAGTGGGGCTCGATAAATCATTGACATTTCTCTGGCCAGGATGGAACTTCTACATGGGATTATAAAGCAGGACACCCTGGAAATGGTTTACTCTTAACTACTCCTCAGCTCCTTCTTCCATGAACTTGAGAATCCCATAGTGGCCCCGATTTCGCCTCTTTCGAAACCTTCCTCCTTTTCTTTTCCTTAGCTCATGCTCATAGCTTTCTCATAAATTTTTGTTTTTCTCAGTTATCCAAATTTAACTTCTAAAAACCAAAGAACCAGAAGTGACATGAAATGGTTAAATTTGTATGCATTGATAAAATTAGAGTGACAATTTCATTCAGAGATAGAATAATGTGTTTACTATAAATTGAATGTATTCATTCTATCAGAATGTAGCACTCCCTTCAGCACATTTTGAAAATAATAATAAAATAAGAAGACTAGTATGTTCTTTTTCTGTGATTCCACTTTTAATCAACACTTACCTACCAATGTTTTCCTGACTTCCCAGACTGTCAGAAAAGGGTTTCGCTGGAGAAATCAAGAACTGGTGGCTACTGAGGTGAGTTTCCTTTATCAGCACATGAGATAGCCTTTAGAGATTTTTTTTTTATTAGAAAGAGATTCCATTATAATTCTTTCATTATATTTGAACCAAAAGAAAATATAAAATTTTGCTGGCTTTTGCCTATGGAGAAACAAAAGCCATGAAACACAAAAATATACATGTATGCATACATATGTACATACCATTTTTTAAACAAAATTTCTGTAAGTTTAGGATTGAGTCATTGGGAAGGGTCCGTAGAGCCTGTTAATTATGTACAAAGTAAACGTTCACTCTTCCTTCTTTGGCGGTATACTTTTTTGAGAGAAGTAAATAGCAGTGTGCTCACCTGAAAGATTTTTATGTGACACACATCATTATATATAGGAGTGGCCATGTGACTAACTTCTTTCTCGTATAACATCAGTAGAATTTTTAGTTGGTGTTTCCAGGATCACTCCTCATCAAAGAATCTGACTCAATTGGCAGAAAGCTTTAGTCCATCTATTTCTTTTTTGTTTTAATCCTTCCTCTTGCCTGGGGACATGGATGTAACTGCTTGGGTTTAGCAGCCATCTTGCAACCACAGTTTGAGTATGAAAGCCAGGCTTCAAGCATGAGGGAGAAAAAAGACTGAAGGATCTCAGAATATTTATGAAGCTCATCCACAAGAGCCTCCATATCAGTTCTAGATTGTCTACCGCTGGACTTATTTTATTAAAGAAAAAATAGAGCCCTATCTTGTTTCAGCCACTATTTTTCAGATCTTGTATTTACAGTTAAATTCAATTTCTAGGAGACAGAATTACCAATATGTTTTGTTCATTTTTAGTACTTTATAATTTAATTTCTGCTTAAATATCTTTGGTAATGCTATTGTTAAAAATTTCCTTGTTTTTAGATTTGTTTTTCATAGCAATTACTTTAGAGTTCTTGTTGAGTTGGATTTTACACCAGACACCACAGGCTCACATCCTAATAAATTTGACATGACATAACACACGTTTTAAAATATTCCAAATCTCAGTATCTTCTTTTGTAAACTGGAAAAAGTAATCATGATACCTACAGCAGAGTGTTCTTCTGATAATAAAAAGTGCTTTGTACCATGTCTGACACAGTGAGTACTCAACAGATGATAGCTATAACAATAATTATGAAAATGACAGGACTATCCTACAATCAGCAGGAGATGAACCCTCAGCTTTTCAGAAATGGTTGTTAAATTGTATTTGTCCAAACATGCTCCAGGTTCTGGTCACTTTAACAATATTTACAATGTTTTAGACCTTTAAATGGGGATGATCAATGGCTAACCAGAAAAAATAAATTTAAATCAAATGATTTTGGTTTTCATAATGTTATACTCTAATGTGAAAGAGAACATAAATATAGACCATCAAAATCATAGAGATCAAGAATTGTGTCTCTTGCAGACTTCAATATACCTGTCTTTCCCATCTCTTAACCATATTTTATCTACAAAAATGAAGAATATTGTAATTTTCAAATCAAGCAATAGGAAATTATCATTTAGTTCCAAGAAAATACTTATGTATTTCCATGAGTTATATGCATAAATATTAATTCCTCTCAGCTATGTATTTTCTATTTCAGCTTTTGTCTTAAATTAAATCCTAATATACCCTGATACCTACATTTCAGTGGCAAATAAAACCTTTAAAAACAACTTTCAAGCCTTTTTTCAATGCCATTGAATTCTTTTAGATATTTCAATCCCTTGCTTTGATGGAACCAATGATACCTCTCTATTTTGGATATTATGGTTGTTCTCACAATTATGACCAGCATCACTTAGTATCTTTTTGTGATAAGGTCTTTAGAAAACAAGATTTCCTAACTGAATTTCTGATAGCCACATATAGAGACTATGACTTCAGCACCTTTTCCTGTGTATCTATCACTTATATAAAATCAAGAATTTATTGATATTACTAGGGTGGCAAAGTATTGCTAGTTGTTTGATTAGAGAAATCTGTATATTTTATTGTATCTAGAATGATTTAGAGCGACCCTTTGAATACATTTTTCAGACCTCTGACCTGGGTAGCTAGTAAAATTAATTTTCTTAGTTAAACTATTGAGTTTCAAGTATTCCATTTGTCTTTTGCTCTAGGACTTTGTAAGAAAAGAGTACTACTAAGAAGTCCAATAGGAGCAGTGAAATACCTGCTCCACTTTTTAAACAGACATCTATAACAGAAGTTAAAGAAAAAATATCACCAACAGAGGATCAAACTCTGCAGTTTACTCACATGTGAACCTTGCTAAGGTGGAAGTATTCTAACAGCGCCTAAAGTAAACAAAAATTGAGATTGAGATAGGAAAATAAATGAAAATTTTCCTCTGGGGCAGGCTAAGGAAAA
This sequence comes from Homo sapiens, assembly GCF_000001405.40. Taxonomy (NCBI): domain Eukaryota; kingdom Metazoa; phylum Chordata; class Mammalia; order Primates; family Hominidae; genus Homo; species Homo sapiens. The sequence goes on from NC_000013.11 coordinate 71,247,669, forward strand.
GAAGATGTAGTGCACAATATTACCGTGAGGTTTGTTTATTTAAATAGCTTATTATATTTGCATTTTGATGACTCTTATTTCTACACTCTGCTTTCCTAACACTTTTCTACAAATAAGAAAGTGTGTTTTTCTGCACCTCTACACTAATGATTCCTCACTCAGCAAGGCTTGCACTTATTAAAGCTCTTTATTGCCACTTTGCTTAAAGAGGTGTTTGAACTCTAGCAGGTAGACAATTCCAGAGGGGAAATTCATTTGAAAGTATTCATAACGCAATACAGAGATTAAAAACTATTGCCATGAACTACATTTTTCTGGTCTCTGCAGATATATGAGATTTCTGCACTTTGACTTAAAAATATGAAGAAGATCTTCTCTTGGGTTCAAATATCTAACAGTCTAAGAAATTCTTTCTCATTCATCATTGTGTGAATACAGAAATTAAATTGGTATTAGTATATGACTCATTGAAGATATAACAACATAGGCTCATTATTTCTTTCTCAAGAAAGCATTTTGAGAAGAATCCATGGGAGCAGTACAAATCAATTCTATAATTTTCCAACACATGTTTTAAACCATCTTCGCTAATACTATTTTTCTGTAATTACTTTCTATTGAAAAGTTTGTTCTTTTTATTTTCAACTGTTCTTTTAATGAAACGTAGAGGAATAACAGAAATAACAGTGGACAGACTCACATTTTGCTGAATGTCTTCCTGTTAAAACATGTTTACCCTTCCCAGCCTAAATTGCCCACATAGAAACTTAGGGGAAAGACACTTAGTCTTCACAGAAAGAATGACAACTGGCCAGGCGCGGTGGCTTACGCCTGTGATCCCAGCACTTTGGAAGGCCGAGGTGGGTGGATTTCGAGGTCAAGAGTTCAAGGCCATCCTGGCCAAGATGGTGAAACCCCGTTTCTACTAAAAACATGAAAATCAGCTGGGCATGGTGGCGGGCGCCTGTAATCCCAACTTCTTAGGAGGCTGAGGCAGAGAATTGCTTGAACCCAAGAGGTGGAATTTGAGGTGAGCTGAGATCGTGCCACTGCACTCCAGTCTGGGTGACAGAGCAAGACTCTGTCTCAAAAAAGAAAAAAAAGAAAGAAAGAAAGAAAGAAAGGAATAATGACAACTCTAAACTTTTATTTTAAGATAAGTCATGAGTGTTCCACATCCTTAGAATTATCTGGGCAGTAGGAGTCTTAAGCCTCAAAATTTCTTTCATGGCATGGCTTCTTTAGTTTTCAACATTCAACCAGAATTTTTTCTCATGCCTATTTAAATGATAAAATGTGCCAGCACTCTAAAATTAATTAAGCATGGTTGAAACACTGAAGGACTATAGAAAACACTAACTTGAGCACTAAGTAACAGAGTTACATTTGTAAAAATGTGAAGAATAAGGTACAGAGATAGAGTTTCTAGTTTGAGAGAAGACATGAAGAAAGTCCACCAGGGGATTTGAAGAAAGTCCACGTTTTCAGGATGAGTTGGGAGCAGACAAAGAGTATTCAGTGCAAGAATTTGCAGGAAGATATGGTTCAAATTGCATTGTTTGTTCAGGAAGTCATGAGCTGTTCTTTTTAGTAATGAGGTAAGTCACCAGGCAACAAGAAGGCATAATGGGAAAATGAGAGCAGTTTAGGAGCAGATTGTAAGATTTTCCATGTAACTTCTGCAAAGTTTCTGCATTTTAATTTGTTTAATTTTGTACCTTAATCAATGTACTTTATAGTTAAGACCAATTCGAGTGGAATTATAAAACCAATTTATTATTTTAAGAGGGAGATTCTGTTTCTTTTTGTTTTACCTAAGCATGCAATTGAATACTTTCCATTCAAATAGGCTGTCATCTCCTTCTTGCATTGTATCAAATACAGCAATTCTCCTCTGGGTTGGGAAGTTATTAATTCAGGAGATTCGAATGCCTGAAACTTTGGAAAAGTTGGAGGGATATTCAGCCTTTGGCTAAATATCTCAGATCCTTACAGGACTTTAAATATCAATCTTATATAAGTAGTTGTTCAAATTTATATCATACATGTAGAATTAATACAACCTAACTTATTTTTCTGAGTTGGCACACCAAATGGGTATCCAGATGCTTTGGATCTTTGAGTTCAAGACGACCCATTCATAATTTCTGCTATTTTAGTCCTTCCAGGGCCACGTAAGGAATGAGAGTTGTCTTTGCCTTACAGAGTAAAATATGTTTACTGCTTTTACTTCCACTCTGCTTGCTTGTACTTCAGTCTCAGTGGATAATTTGCAGAAACCATAAAAGAAAAAAACTAGAATTTTTTTCTTTATCGAAGAGATACATTTTATTTCATCTCTATCCATGCCCACCTTCCCTGTGGCTTCCCTGAGATCAGTTAAATCTGACTGATCTCAGGTATCAGAATGGTGAGACTTCAAATTATTTCTTGAATTCTAGGATTCAGGTCTTACTATATTTTCTTACACTCTTCTGAGCATTGCTCCCTATATCTTAGGTCTCTGGTAGCCCCTGGATGATACTAATCAGAATTCCAGTTCTCTCATGTAGCAGTAAGTATTTGCTCTACATTGCCTTCTCGAAACATTCTCAATTGTTCTATCCCCCTGTAGCTACAAGGTACATTTCAAATGCTAACACTAACAAGGATACTTTCTTACCTCAGAGGGCAAGGCTTTCCACTATTTGAATTTCATTTAGATCTTTATTCTTTTGTGGAAACATCATATGCAACATTGAATCATTTGTACACATGTAGTCTTCTTTATAATGGAGATTATGCTTATTTAAATCTGTATTCCCAATATTCCAGCACAATGCCAAGCACATAGCAAATGCCCAAAAGTTGTTTGCTGATTAAGAGAAAGAAAAAAAGTGAAGGGAGGAGAAAAAGGGAGAGTGGTGGGGGTAGGGGAGAGAGAGAGAGAGAGAGACAGAGAAAGAGAAATAGAGAAGAAAAGAAAGTTAGGCAGGTGTTACCCTACTAAAATTTTAGTTTGTAAAGGATAGATATTCTGTTTTTCCCACATGACCTCTACTTAACATATTTTTGATAGATAAATTTCTATTCAACCTAGAAACATAAAACATAATCTATATGTGTGATAAAATATATTTTTAAACATTTTCAGAACAAAATGTGATATTGTATATATATTCCATTCCATGGACTTCACCTAAGTTTTTCTAAAGCAAAGATAACTAACCTCTATGATTTTTATAAATTCTGACAGTATTTCAATTTTAAATTATTTTCTTATTATATTCTAAAACTTGGAAATTAAAATACCAGAAAATAAAATTTTCTCTTATAAAATAAAAAAAAACCCTGAAAAATCATTGAGCACCTTTTCCTATATTTAATTAGTAAGTATAATTTAGATCACTTGACTTCTCATTTGAAGATGTTTCTGCAGACAGAGTTATTATTTTTGTAGAGAGAAGCTACAAAATTCAGTGCATGAACTGCAGTTCTTTCCACACTATTACACTGGACATGCCTGTTAGTCTCTGGAAGGCTTGTCACTCTTATGACTATGTAGAAACATTTTGTTTGAGTTTGAAGAAGACGATTGCATTTTGATGATTTGTTTTGCCTCCTGTATCTGACTCTTTATTCTTGAAATATATTCTTTCCAACGATGCCATCATCAAAAAGGGGCATTTTTGTGATGACAGTAAGAATACATCTGACGAAATAGCTACTGGATTCATCATATTTATAAAGACAGTAATTATGACTTTGGCATTAATTGTGGCCATTGGGGTTTTTTTATTCTTGCCCTTGCCAGTAGGCCCTAAATCTAGGCTTCAATTTCTTTTGCATTAACTCTGCTCAAATATAATGATTACCATTTAACTCAGTGGTTACATAATCCTAGTGAAATTTTAATGTGGACATCTTGCATTAACTTTCTTCCCTTTAACAACAACAAAAAAGGAAAAGGTGGCCCCTAAATAAATGAAACTCAATTTCACGGCACATTATCTCTTTCAATTCTTTCCTCACAGCTTTCATTTTCATTAAAATCACAGACAACCATAAATTAATAATTACTTCAGGTTCACTAAATGCAGGCCGTACTATTTAGCTCTTGCTTTCCTACAGTGGCCCTTCTTGTTCATGCTGGAAAAATGTTAATTTAGATAATATGGCTTGCCCCTTGTCTTATAATTCTGTTTTGCAGTTTCACTGATCTATAATGGTCTGTTCTTATTAAATAGTATTAACTTTATCTTTTGTTAAATCAAGCTTTACACTTTGCTTGGAAGATAACTGTTGCAAACTTTCAGTTGAAATGTGTCATTATCTATATATCTATTATATTTCAATTGGTCTCAAAATGCTTTGTGTTTTTTACTGACTTGCTTGTGATTCCATGCACTCATAAATGTTTTGTCCATTAGCTAAAAGTGTGTGTTAGAAGCTCTTACATGGAGAATCAAGATATGGAAACAAAATTCTAAGCCTTAATAATTATGAGAAATTCACATAAGCTATATTTTAAAAGATTTAGGTATTTTTGTCTGATTCACTTAAAGAAGCAGCGACTAAAAATTCAATTCAACTGTTTTTGTTGTTTCTCTGATATTTGAAAACTCTGATTAGCCTCAAGACAAGTTACTGTATTGTTTACTTAAAACGCTACTTCCTTATACAACGTTTTAAGATATGCATCTATTTTTACAGAGCTTCCAGAAGGAAAGCAGTTACACAATCATAGACTAGAACACTGAGAACAATAAAATAGAAGATTTGCCAACTAACATGGAAGTTAACAGTTTAGTCTCTGGCAATGTGACTTTTGAGAATGCTTTCACTTTCTTAAGTTTAGGTAAATCTAGTGGTTGATTTGAACCAAATAGAACACCCTCAATACTTTAGAATGCATGCTACCGTGAATAATGTTTCATTTAAGTCAAATAAGTTTAAATTAGACTATAGCAAAAAAAAAAATGGTTAAAAACCTGTCTATATATCCAAGTTTATCTCAAGCTTTTGGGAAATCAAGCAGTTTAATGAAAGATATGATAGAGAGGTCTCACCTTTCCCCCAAAGTATAAAACACACATCATCCAACACAATAGTGCTCTCAAAGAAATCCGTAAATATTCCCACCTTCTGTCCAGTGGAGCAAACATTCCTTGTTACAATATTTCCCCTTTTACTTTGGATTGCTATAAATCAATTCTGTTCGTATTATCCATATTGTATAGAAACCACATACTGCATGATTGGAAGATGTCATATTCCTGTCTGCTCAGTTATTAAATAATATGCTGTATACAAATAAATTATTTTTGAAGAAATATATTGCCACAACTTATTTGGTGAATGAACTCATTTCAATAAGTAGATTGTTGACTCCTTCATCCAGTTTATGGCAATTTTTAAAATAATACTGTGGACTGACTTTCTTCACTGTTAATCCAGGTAGGTAATTGCCTCCAAATTCTCTAATTTGTATTGATGTTACTAAGTGGTAGAGAAACATGACATTTTCATTATTTAATTTTCCAATGACTATTTTTCCTAACCATGATAAATCACTTAAGTCATGTTTACTAATGATTATATCCTAAAAATTTCCATGTGTATTGAAACCATAATTGCCCTGAACCCCACAATCTGAAAAGTCCCAGAGGAAGCATTTGAAATGAACTCAAACAATACAATAGTTTGGAATTGATCTGGGAATCTCATTTCCCTCTTCGTATCAAAGATTAACTCTGCTTGCTATAAATATTATGATACTATTTTGCACGTATTATCACTCAATGTTTTAGCCAAAACATAACTCGCCCAATAATACAAATTAATTTTACAGGCATTGTACTTTTAACCCTTATATTCTGATATTTTTTAATACATACGAGAAGAAATGGAAGAATCTTAATGTGTTATAATATTTAAAACTTTTTATTCTTTCTATTTTTCAATTTAAAAGAAAAAGTGAATTAAATATATTAGAGTGTCATCACTGAAGGCAACTAGATTAAGGGAATGATGTGTTGAAATATTAACAGATTTTTTTCATTTTAGTCTTAAGCTAAAGATTTCTGTGCACATTTTTACCTTTCCCACAATGTAGAAATATCACTTTCTCTAATCATTTTTTTAATCTGCTTTACAGTCATGTATTTTTATATTGGAATATATGACATTCTTGTAAATCTTGGAAGGGAGAGATATATTTTACTTAAAGGATTTGTTTATTAATTTGTTGACATGAAATTGAATGAATAGACTTTGTTCATCCAACAGAATTTATATCCCAGATATATCATGTATTATTTCTTGATTTTTTTAAGCTACTTTTGTTCTTGGAACCTCAACTTTTTTTTTTTTTTTTTTTTTTGTAAAATGAAAATACAATTAACTTTATACAGTTATTTTGAAGGTTAAATAATAAAATGTTTTAAAATATTTTCAGAATGGAACTGTTAAATAATACAAGCTACTCCTTTTCTTTTGCCTTTAAAAACTGCTAAATAGAATTTGATTCTTTTAGATAAAATAACAGTTCAAAACCAGAAAAAAATAAGTAGTTATATTGCTCTTTAACTACTGATTATTTAGAATAGCTTACCTTGTTACAATATGAAAGGGTTTATTGTATTTTTTTCTTAGGATTACCATAAGAGAGAAAATGTTATGCTATAATGTAGAGTTGTAAGAAACATGACCTAATGCCTGTCAAGCTGTGGTTAATATTAATAAACTTCAAGCAGCTATATCAATGCTAATAAAGAAGCACTACAAAGGTGAATGACAGGAGAGATTTGGGAAAGTGTTTGATACCTTGTGTCCAGAGAGTCAGAAGGAAGTGGTTTGTTCCTCAGATAAAAGAGATCAACTCTCTCAGGAATGTCATTGGAATCCTGATGCCTATGACTGAGCACCCAGGAAATATGAGGAAGCTCCTATAGCCATAGGTATACTGCCACTAGAGGCAATAGATCACAGAAATCTAGCCATAGAGGGTCGGGTACAGTGGCTCACACCTGTAATCCCAACATTTTGGGAGGCCATGGCGGGAGGATCACTTGAGATCAGGAGTTCAAGACCAGCCTGGCCAACATGGCGAAACCCCGTCTCTACTAAAAATACAAAACAAATTAGCCGGGCATGGTGGTGTGCTGCCTGTAATCTCAGCTACTCAGGAGGCTGAGGCACGAGAATCACTTGAGCCTGGGAGCCGGAGGTTGCAGTGAGTAGAGATCACACCACTGCACTCCAGCCTGGGTAATGGAGTGAGACTCTGTCGTAAAAAAGAAAAAGGAAAGAAACGAAAGAAACCTAGTAGTGAAGGATGACTAGAACATCAAAAGTGAAAAACTTTTAGGACATTTCCAACAATACACTGGTATTCATTTGAGGAAGTCAAAATTTTCCTTGCAACCCCAAATCCCATTGAAATAACAAAAGGCATATTTTAAAAGAGATTAAGCTCATTGTGGCTCTGAAAAAGTCACTCAATGCACTATCAGTAGTTTGTAAATATTGAATAAATCTGAAGGTTAGAAAACATATGGATGCAAATACATAGAGAAACAAAACAAGAATATCTGAGCCCTAAAACTTGTAGGATGAAATATGACAGAAGTAGAAACATTGCAGCAGGCTCATGCCCATAGTCAGTTAGTGGTGTCAGTGGGCTTTTGGGAGTGATAAAATGAAGAAACACATTTGGAAAAACTACATGATCCAGACTCTCCTTCCCCTGATTGTCCTAAGCACCAATAAGAGTGGAATATACATTTTCTTAATCCAGTCCTGCATGTTGTGCACATGTACCCTAGAACTTAAAGCATAATAATAATAACAAAAAGAGTAGAATATACAATATACTGTCAAACTACAGCAGTGATCTGGTGCTTGTGTAACAAAGGGTGAGATCATACCCTAGGTAGCCACTAATCCCAAGAAAGGATAATTTATACATATACATTAGGGATTATTAGACAATAGTAAGAATACTAAAAATTTAAGGAAATCAATATTCAATACAATATTGTTACTGTATCTTTCTATACATACTTACCCTTTTGTTGTAATGGCCTTCAATTTTCAGTACAGTAACATGTTGTACAGGTTTATAGCCTAGAAGCAACAGGTTACACCACATAGCCTAGGTATGTGGTGGACTATACCATTTAGGTTTGCATATGTACATTTTATGATGTTTGGACAATGATGAAATCACTTAAATATGCATTTTTCAGAACATATCCTCATTGTTAAGCAACACATGACCGGAATTGTATGCTAAAGGATTGAAAATAATGACAAGGAATCTAGAAATATAAAACCACTAGAAGAAAAATAAAAGGAAGAAAGCAATGAAAATACAAAACAGTAAAAAAGATATGAAGAAATAATAGTAAAGTATTTGAATGAGCTTTAATTCTTTTTTTTTTTTTTTTTTTTTTTTTTTTTGCTGTTATAGCAGAATACCAAAGACTGAATAATCTAATGAGAATAGAGATATCTTTTCACAGTTTCAAAAAATGGGAAGTTGGGAAGTTTAAGATCAAGATGCTGATATATGGTGTGGGCTTTCTTGCTGTGTGCTCACATGGCAGAAGGCAGAAAAGCGAGAGAGAGAGACAGAGAGAGTGGGGGAGACTAGAGACAGGGAGAGAGAGAGGCCACTCCCTCAAGCCCTTTTATAAGTGCATTAGTTCATTCATAATAGGGAAGCCTTCATGACAGAAACAACTTGCAAAAGGCCCCACTTCCCAACACTATTGCATTATGGATTAAGTTTCCAACACATGAATTTTGGGGGACACATTCAGATAATAACAGATCCTAATAAATAAGATTTGGTTAATGCCTTTATTAAAAGGCAGAGAATGTTAAAGACAACATTGTTAAAAGAAAACTTTTTATATTCTATATATGAGAAATAAAGCTAAACCAAAATTATACACAACATGGCAGCATTTTAATGTAAGTGACTTGATAAATATATATTAAGAAATGTTTACAAATAGAAAGCAATTTTAACACTAATAGTTTCAGGCAAAATAGGATTAAGGTAAAAATTAGAGAGATTGGGTTATTTCATTTTACTAAAATGTATAGTTCAGCAATACATATTTTGAAATATAAAAAGGAAAAAAATGTGGGAAAGGAACAAGTGACAGATGCAGAATATACATTTTGAGAGTTAGAACACACTGCCCTCTGTAATTGATATATGAATAAACCAACTACTATGGCAAAACTAAATACAGATAAGAGATATTAAGATATCAAAAACATAATTAACTGTTTTGAACTAATATAATTCACTGAAAGCTTTGGATGTATCAAACGGGAATATATCCATTCACAACACAGGAAATGGTCACAAAAATTGACTTTTGGGTGTGAAAGAAAACCACAATAAATTTTTTTTTTTTTTTGACACGGAATCTCACTCTGTTGCCCAGGCTGGAGTGCAGTGGCGTGATCTGGGCTCACTGCAAGCTCCGCCTCCCGGGTTCACGCCATTCTCCTGCCTCAGCCTCCCCAGTAGCTGGGACTACAGGCGCCCGCCACCACGCCTGGCTAATTTTTTTGTATTTTTAGTAGAGACGGGGTTTCACCGTGTCGGCCAGGATGGTCTCGATCTCCTGACCTCGTGATCCGCCCACCTTGGCCTCCCAAAGAGCTGGGATTACAGGCGTGAGCCACCGCACCCGGCCCTCAATAAATATTTTTTAAGTAGTACTTCATAGGCTATACGTCACATGATAATACATGAAAATTAGACGTGATAAAGGATAATCTTCTCTCACCACCCCCCAATGCACCCATATTGGCTGTATTGGTTTTTAAGGACTTATCAAATACCTAGTGGGTAGTGATAAAATTAAAACTGAAATTACTAAATATTTTAAAGGTATGCCACCAAGAGTGTATTCTAATAAAAATCCTGTAGGATCTAGCCAAAACAGGACTTGTAATATGTTAAAGCATAAGCGTATTCATTTGAAATTAAAATAGACTTGATATAAAGAAATTCACTATACATCCGAAGCTTTAAATAATAACAAAAAGAGTAAAAAAAAATAAGATAGAAACAAAACAGACTCTAAAAATAAAGTTAAAGACACAATAATAATAGTGCAGAAAATGATAAAGAAATTGATTTTAAGGATATAATGAAAACTAATTCTTTGGAGATCAATAAAATATCCAAACATTTGCAAAGAGGGGAATGTGATAAGAAATGTAATAGAAAGGGTGTATAACAGGAGAGGTGAAAGCTTTAAGATTATACACTTTCATGGTGGAAATAATGGAATATTATACACAGGCATATGTACAAGTGAGCCCCTCTTTAAACAAAATATTTCTAACTATTCAAATTTTATTATCAAGGGAAGTGAATAATTATTGAATATGTCCCATAAACTAAGCATTACTCAAGCACTTTATATGAATAATGTAATTCAACATTCACACACACACAAAAATATGAGATGGGTTAAAATTTTGTATCATTAGACAGTTGTGGTGAGTGCCCACGCCAATATACAAGCTTAAGTTGTCTGTCTTCAGAGTCTACATTTAACCTCTATGCTATTCTCCCTTCAATTAATGAAGGTTCAAACCTGCTTTTAGCTGTGTGACTTATACATGAGAATTCCATAATCTTCTTTGGGTCTCACTGAAAACAAACTTCACTATCAGACCATAAAAGAGATATTTAAAATTTACTAAATCCTACATAAAGATAATAGAAAAAGGGGTTTATGATGTAGAAAACACCGCATTATTCTAGAGAAACATCCAAGTACCTCTTCTGAGTTTATTGTTCCTAGGAAGTGTCTGGTATGCTGTTATTGAATCCCTAAGCCATCTCCTGGAATCCCTCTCTGTACGGAGCAACGAGCATTGTGGTTTTCTTAGCCATTGTGTCAATACATAGATACCTCAATCTACCAATGAATGTTTTAAAGCATGACAAAGGCCATCATGCCCAGGATAAAAATTTTATTTGCAGTCAGAGAAACAATTGCCTGTTAGGAGGATTCACTCTCTGTTGAAGGCTGTGTGTGTGTCTGATAATAGCACATGTATCATTTTTAAAAAGTGAGGTACCGTTATTTTTCTGCTTCTTGAATCCATCCTGTTTAAATGTATTTCTGTGTATAAAAGTTTTTTACTTTCTTTTTTGTTGACTTTGTTATTTTATTTCTGGAATCCTGATTTTAAGGTGCTTTTTACAGTTTTTTTCCCCTGCTACCTCCCCACTTATTTCATGGGTGATTCCATTCACTTTAGGAGTTTCAGTGATAATTTTTCCACAGATGCCTCCCATATTGGCATGCCTTGGCTCTGCCTAGATCTTGAGCCAAACCCAAAAGGGTCTCCATTGTTTTACTAGATAAACGCACAGCGGTACTACAGCCTCACCTCAAACCGAACGTACCTAATACTAAAAACATGACATTCTCAAAGCCACTTATTTTGTTTTCCCTTTTTCTCTCAGGGTGCTTCTGTTCATCAATTACAAAAACCCAAACTTTACTATTTAATGAACATCTTCTTCTACCCATTCTATGAAATATAGTTAACTAGTTATAAAATCCCATAGATCCTGTTCTCAAATATTCTTCACATTTGTCTGTTTATTAATATCATCTTGCCTGAATTCTAATAGTCATATTCTACCTAGATTGGTCCCATCACTCTTTCTTTCCCATGTTATTCTACCTAATGCATTATGATTTATCTTGATATCTTGATAAAGCTCCCGAGTAGCTGGGACTACAGGCATGCACCACAATGCCCAGCTAATTTTTGTATTTTTAGCAGATATAGGGTTTCACCATGTTGGCCAGGATGGTCTCGATCTCTTGACCTCGTGATCCACCGACCACAGCCTCCCAAAGTGCTGGGCTTACAGGCTTGAGCCACCACGCCCGGTCAACAAATCTTTAACTTCTCAATTTCTGGGTTCAACTTAGAAAGTTGAAGATGAGCTAGATATAATCTCCTCTCCTCCACTCTCTAAAGAAGTCCTACAATAAGTCTTATGTGCTACCACTTTCACAGACTATTTGTGATCAAACAAGGAGCACTCTTGTCCTTTTCTCAATTCTATGTCATTTTGTTTGCAACTCTTATGGTAAGTATCCCAAAATATTGTTAGAAGCTACATAGTGCTTCTCAGGCTTCAAATTGGAATTTGAATATGGAATCTATTTTGGAAAATATTAAACTTTTCTGAGCCTGCATTTTTATTTGTATTATGGGGAAAGTGTTACATACCTCACATTAATAGAAGATCTTTGAAGTCTAGAAATCAGAACCAGACATAGAGTAAACTTTCAATAAATATTAATTTTCATATGCAACCACTATTCATTAGATTACATTCTTGTTTTTTATACTCCTACAAAATTATAACTTTCTTGAGCACAAGTATTTTCATTTTGACACGACTATATAACTGTCTTCTTTTGTTACACCTATACAGATCCTTACACTGAGTAGGCATTTAATAAAATGTATTAAATTAAAACTTTTTGTTTACTAATTGACATAATTTTAAAGTTACAAATTTAGATTATTTCTTAAACATTTGTCTGGTTTTCTCACCGGAAGTTTATTGAACTTAGTTCAATCTGTGATTTTAAGCAGTATCAATGACATGAGAGGACAGGAATGCCTGACCTGTAAATTCTGAGGTTAACATTGTACATGAGAACTACTGCTCATGGAAAAATGCATGATTTTTCTTGAAAACAATTCCAGGAAATATACTGCTATATAGATTGGGTTATATCCATCCAGCATAGTATTGAATGTCTGCTATGTCCATTGCTTGTCCAAATTTAGATTATGAGTAACAGAGTCATACAAAGTTTACTAACAGGAAAAAGTAATTGTTTAGACAATGTTCCTCCTCATTGTATCAAAATGTTTCACACATAGTTACAATGTAGAGAAGGAATAAAGAAAGGTTAGCTTTGAAAGTATCCTTCAAAATGCAAAAATGCACAAGAATTTTGCAATAGGACTTTAACTTACTATTTTAAAACTTTTACAAGTTGTCCACTTTGCATTATTCTATTTTTCTATTGTCTATTTTGCATGGCGCTATGCACTTTTTGTGCCAGGTAGCATAATGATATTTTAAAGAAATATGAAGAGGTTACATAAGTGTGAAGTAAGTGCAGAAATGTTGTTTGGTAAATATTTTATTAAACGGCAGAACCATTTAATTTATTTTTATCATTGCGTATTTCTTCTATGAAGGTATAAAGTAAGCCACCTCTAGAAAACAGTATGAGAAGTCAAAATTGAGGAAACATTATCCATATCAACTCAGGGTTAAATTAAATTAATAAATAATTTGAGATATAAGCAAAATGCCACCATTTTATTCATCATAAACAGATATCACAAATTAGTGAAACCCTAGTAACTGATAGCATATTTCAACACGGTCCCTACAAAATGGGTATAAAGCAAGTTAAATATACAGTTAGGTCTACATAGGTCTACAGTAAGTATAATCTATATTAGATTTCCTCATTTTTTTTTCCCTCTACTACTCAAATATGTCAAATCTCCTTCTTCTCACTGAAGCCAAGAAATATACTTGGTAGGCTATCTGCTAGAAATGTAAACCAAAAAAATGTAGCATGGAGAATAAATTATTAAAGATAAAATATCAAGAATTAGTAAGACTTCCATTGATAACTGAGATAAAGTAAGCTCATTACAACCCATCTTTCTTAGTGATTGCAACAAAATCTCTGGACAGAATACAAGAAGAAATTCCATTGGGACTCTGTAAAATAAGTAATAGCAGATGTATTAGGAAGCGAAATCAAACTTGTAGGAGAAAGGAAAGGCAGTAACTTTACTTTTTTGGTTTTTTTTCCACCCTCCCTTTATCTCTTGGTTTTTAGGTAAGAGTGGACAGTAGAGGTGGACAGTAAAAATTAGAAGGAAAACTCTGCTTTTCAAGGCAGAAGTCCAGGATAAAAGAACCTCTACAGGCCAGAGAGTGGTTTGTTGGGGAGGAGGAAATCTTTTTTCTTTTCCTCTTCTATTTCATCGTTGTCCTGAGGCAGCCCCAGTCATGAAACTACCCTGCTCTCCTTACAGAGTATCTAAAAGTTCAAGAAAAAGTCTACCTCTTTATCCAGAGAAATAGAAAATGGAACCTCAGTGGTCCAAAGAATGTGGAGATTATCATTATGTTGTTTCTCTTTTCCATCCTTCTGTCTGGAAGTGGCCATAATTTTGAAAAACTGTACAAAGGCAGAAGGAGCTAAAAGTGAGAGAAACTTTAGTTTACAAGGTAAAATACTGGGAAAAGGAAACTCGGAGAACCATAGAATGGCTAGAAAATTTGGAGAGGTGAGAGGAGAAACTGTCCAAATTCTGTACCTGAGTTGACAAAACCTCTACTCTCATCCTCACCTGCGTATTGAGAAAATAGACATCAATAAGCATGATGAAAGCTTTGAGAACTGAACTGTAGTATACAGACAAATCATTGAGTACACATGCACAAGGAAATTCAAACAGCATAGTATAGACTGAACTGAAGTTAGAAGCACTTTTCACAGACGGCAAATCAAAACTTTTGATCTCAGACTACCCACGTCAATTGGCTGCTAAAACAAATAAGAAAAAAATGTACATAATCTTCTGAGGATTTTGCCAGAATTAAATTTTACAATATGATATTGAAAATGTCCAAGATATAACCCAAAATCACTTGACATAGAAAGAAATAGGAAAATCTGGCTAATTTTAGGACAAAAATAATTTTAAAATGCCAACCTCAATATTATACAGGTGTTGAAATTATCAGGCAAAGACAAGCAGTTATTACCACGCTTTATGGAATACAGTTGATCACTTTTAAATGAGTGCAAAGATAGAAGTTCTAAGCAGAGAAATAGAAACTACGTAATTGAACTAGATGTCAAATAGAAATAAATACAAGATTCACTGCATGGGCTCAGCAACTGACATAGGAATAAAAACGGAAAGACTCAATGAACTTAAGATAGATCAGCAGAAATTTTTCCAATCTAAAGAACAGGAAAAAGTAAAAAGAGTGAACAAAAACAACAAAAAAGCAGAGTGCAGACACCAGTGAGACAATATTACAAGGTCTTATAATTAGAGTTCTAGAAAGGAAAGCCAAAGGGGTTGGTACTGATTGAGCAAATAGTTTAAGGGATAATGGTCTGAAAACTATCTCCCAAACTTTAACAGAGTTTGCTTCTTTTCTTCATTTAAATTGGTAAAAGCCTGTTTGTCTCCCATAGTCCATTCTTTCATTATTTCCCAAACTTTAACAGAGTTTGCTTCTTTTCTTCATTTAAATTGGTAAAAGCCTGTTTGTCTCCCATAGTCCATTCTTTCATTATTTCCTTAATAATGGAACCCCAGGATTTTAACTGGTCAAAATGAAGACACCTTTACTCAGCTTACTTGCACCAGTGAATGTGACTATTTGCTGGCTAATGGTGTACATAGTCATCATTTGCGTTACTACCAGGGGATCCCCTTGAAATGGTATCTATGTCCTTCTTCTCCACCTGGAATGTAAAACCTTTCTAAAGTTATTTTTAATGAACACACAATAATTGTACATATTTCTGGGGTATAGCGTAATATTTCAGTATATGTATACACTGTGTAATGATTAAATCAGGGTAATTAGCATACCCATCACCTCAGACATTTATAATTTCTTATGTTGGGGACATTAAGAAATCTGTCTTCTAGTTATTTGAAAATCTATAATAAATTACTGTTAACTATAGAATGTGAATCATTTAGATCTAATATTGAATGCTATTGATGTGAAGATGAAGACAATATTCTGGGTGGGGAAGAGGGCGAGTGGAGGTAGATAGAGAAGAACCAAAAGATTGAAGAAAAGTGAGCCTCAACAACGTGGATAGCTAATGAAAGGGCTGGTACATGACAGTGAAAATTGGGTTTAAGCTATTATCACTCAGTTGTGACTTTGTTACAGGAGATGTACATTTGTTCTAAGTAATCCAGGAACTTAGCTCAATTACGATCCAGGCATTCTCTTAAAATACTATCAAAAATAACCTACCCCAGAATGTTTCTATCACTTGATTTTACTTTATTGTCACTATAGCACCAATCACCATCTGAATTACCTTTTTAATGTGTTTAGCTGCAGATTGTTTTCTCTTACATAGTAATTGGATGTTTCCAATGATGTATTTATGAATTTCTTTAATTTTAAGGTAGTAAAGAGAAAACAAATCCGTTTTTTTAAGGTCTTCCTTCCATGGGTTAATTTATTGGCTTGCTAAAATCTCAAACACTATAAAACAATTAAGAATATCTGATATTAAATATTATTTGGTAATTTTACTTATTAATAACTAACAATTCATTTTAGAAATTAAAATGCAATGCCTAATTTAAATGTTGAAATTTGTTCAAAATAAACACATGAGCTAAAAAGTAAAAAGACACAATATTTATCACTGAAAGGAATGGGCAAAATGTTCGCATTTGCCATTTCTACGAAGCATAATGGACAGCAGCTCATATTTTATTTAGTTCTCCAACAGATGGAAGGAAACTAATGTCACTAAGTGAGAGCTAGGAGACATTCCAAAATTAACAACAGCAAATATAAACAGTTTAGTCCATCTCTTTCTTGAACATTAAAAAAAACCTTGTACTTTATCAAACAGTAGGTTATTAAATGAGTATAGCCTGGTATACAGCAGCAATTTGAAGAGTCATTTTGCGTGTTAAAACTGACTGAGCTACTAGTTCTTTGTATTTTACTTTAAGATTAGTTTTTATCTATCTTTATATTTCATATTGCATTTAAAATTCAATTAGGACAGAGGTTTAAACTGTTTTTGTTATTACTGCTGCTTGCTTATTTGTTTCACTTTATAGTCTGTTTCTTCAGAGAGACAAATAGGCATTAGTTACCTGAATTATTGGCTTTACATGAGTAAATTACTTGCTAACTCAAAACTCATTTCTTTATCTACTACTCCCCAAAGCATAGGAAATTTGTAAGTTTATTAGAGAAATAATATTTTACAAATAACCTTGAATTCTTCCTACTGTACAAAATTATTCTTCAAAACTTGGCTGTTTTAATTATTACCAGTAACAAAATAATAATAAGTTAACTCTCTGGAGGAATATATGTGAATCCCAAGTTTCTGCAATATGTCGTATCCAGAATACAATTCACAATTCTGTGACCTTTGAGGAAATAAATAAGATTTTAAAAAAATAAATAGAGACAAATCATGGGATGACTCAGATGTTGAACTTAGCAGACAAGGATTTTTAAATCGTTTTTATAATTATGCTCAAGAATATAAAAGAATATACACACTGTAATGAAAGAAAAGATTAAAAAATCTCAGCAGAGTAGAAACTATATTTTGAAAATGTAAATACTTAAATGGAAAAATAAAAATTTTTAATTATACAGTGGTACTGATAAGTGTCTAGGAAATGCTTACATATAATATCAGAAATAATAAATGATAACTATTGCTGCTTCCTACCAACCTGCTGGGAAAAACATAAAATGTAGCCATATTCTGAGTAGGTGGCTTAGATTTCAATCAATTAGTAGCTGCTGCTATTGATTCTTCTGTTTCTTCTTCTTCTGTTTCTTCTGTTTCTTCTTCTTCTGTTTCTTCTCTTTCTTCTTCTTCTTCTGTTTCTCCTCCTCCTCTTCCTCCTTCTCCTCCTCCTCCTTCTTCTTCTTCCTTCTTCCTTCTTATTTTTTTTTAACAAATAGTATATCTCTGAAAAAATAGAAAATACATTGATTTCTCCTACAAAAGTAGCTTACAATGTTGTGATTGAAGGGAGAAATATCGCTTTATGGGAGCAATAGTATTAAATATCTATACATATGAATGTCATTTATTACTTTTCATTATTATTAGAAACTAAAATCTTATAAAATAATTTGACAAAAGGCATAACCAAATTGTTTTGAAAACCTTAGTGAACAATTTTGTTTTTATGATAAATGGCATGTTCTTATTATCATTACTATTTAATCTTTCATTCTCAAATGTCTTCTTACTGTCTATCCCTAATATAGTTTCTCTCAATTTCCTACTGTTATACTCATGAAACCAAAGAAGGCAAAAACACATAACAAAGTTAACAGTGGCAGTCAATCTATTACCAAAATATATCAGAAAGTAATATTATCTACGAGGCCCTTCTAATTGTATTTATTGCCTGGAGTCTGGGAATGAAAGAAATAAACCTTGCTGTCCTGAAAATAAGGAGGAAAAACACACTACAGAAAAGAGCATAAGTACCAGTGAAATATTAATAACTGTCTATTTGTGTTCAGAAATAATATAAAAATAGCTACTATCAATACTTCTAACATTGTGCTAAAGGTTCTAATCAATACAATGGGTAAGGAAAAATAAATCAAATATTTAAGGGTTTGAAAGCAAGACATGAAATTGCTTTTTTCACAGATGACGTGATTGTATAAGTAGACACTCAAATGGATATATAAATGGTTAAAATTGATAAATTAATTTAGTCATGTCACAGAATATGATGTCAATATATGTAATAGTATATATATATATGTTCTGCATATATATGTATATTTTCTGCAACAAATTGAAAATAGTGTAAAAAGTAATACTATTTACAGTAGCTTATAAACATTGAGCACGTATGAATAAATATAATAAAAAGATGTTCAAGCCCTATATATTGAAAACTATATCTGAAATTAAAGAAGACCTAAACAAATGGAAGTTTATATTACATTGACATGTTAGAAGGAACATACTTGTTCTCTTCAATGATCTGTATATTCAATTCAATCCCCAATAAAAATCCAATAAGTTTTATAAAAATCTAATTCTAAAATTTCTTTTGAAATTCAAAATTTCAAGAAGAGTCAAAACATTTTGAAAAAGATCAAATCATAAAATTCCACTACCAGATAAAAAGGCTTACTTTAAAGTGATAGCAATCAAGACAGTTTGTTACTATACCAGAAAAATTCAAAAAGACCAGTAGAGTAGAGTAAATAGTGTAGAAATATACCAATATTTATGGTCGCTTGATTTAAGACAGATGTTAAAACATAGTATTTTGAAAAAATAATGGACTTTTAAATAAATGGATTCTGTCAATTGGATATTCATACAGAAAAAAAATGAATCTTGATCTCACGCCACACATAAAAGTTAATTCTATGTGGTTTGCAGATTTGAACAGAAAAGTTAACCTAACACAACATTTAGAAAAAAAATAGAATATCTCTATATCCTTAAATTTAAAAAATGATTTTTAAAATTATATGCAAAATAGAGTCATTATAAAGGAACAAAAAGTTGTCAGAATTAATTTCACTAATGTTAAAAATTTTGTTTAACAAAAGACACTACTAATATAATTTAAAAATCAATCTTTAGAGTAGGAAAATAGTTTTATTACATATATCAGATAAAGCACTTAGTATATGTAAATAAATGGTATAAATCAATAAGAAAAGGAGCCACCACTAAAGAAAGTGGACAAAAGACTTGAACACATTCCTCAGAAACTGGTTTTCTAAATTGCTATTAAATGAATAAAAAGGTCCTTTAATTTCTTTATCATAGAGGAAGTGAAAATTCAAACCAAAAATAAAATCACTGCACAACTCCCACAATAGCTGAAATGAAAAGGACTGAAAATATACCAAGTATTGGCAAGAATATGTACCAACTGTAACTTCCATACTTTACTGGTGGGAGTTTAAATTGAAAAACCACGTTGAAAACCATTTTCTAGGATCTATGAAAGCTGAACAAATGCATATCTTATGACCCAGCAATTGCACTCATAGGTATAAAGCCGACAGAAATGTATCCATATGTTCAGTAAAAGAAAGATACCTAATGATTACAGCAGCACTATTTGTAATAGCCAGAAACTGGAAACAACCCAATGTTCGTTAGCAGTTAAATGGATAAAGGGTAGTATTTTCATAAACTGAATATTACATAGTATGAAGATTGAATGAATTTGTGCTAAATATAACAGCATAAAGAGCCAGACCAAGCACACATGCTGAAAGATACCATCTATAAGGTTCAAAACAAAAGGAGGTGGGGGGGTGCAAAACTAATCAGTGGTATTAAAAATCATGACAGTGGTTAACATTTTGGGGATATTGCCTAGGAAGGGTCATGAGAGGAACATCTGTTCCGTTTCTTGATCCAGGTTCTGGACACATGGGTGTACTCGTGATTTTTGCAAATTCAACAAGCTGAAAATTTATAGTTTGTGCACTTTTCTTTAGGTATGCTATACTATTATGAAAAGTTTTAAAATCTATACAAATTTGGTGACTACCTTCTCATAAAAATATTTTTAACATCATAAGTGGATAAAAAATAAGTTTATCATCACATGCCTTCCTCCCACACCTTAATATTGCAAACCCCAAAAGCAATCATTTAAAAAGTACAGTATGAAGAGGCGATTATCTTCATATATATGTGTACGTAGGGGTCTCTGTAATGGTGATATTTTTATAAATATACCGAATTTATTTTAGCACCTACATAGATTTCTAGGATGTGGTTACAATTACCTGCTTCCACTTGCAGATATTTAATTTGTTTCCTATTCTGCCATTTTACACAATGAATTACCTGTATATTTAAGCATATGCTTATGTACATACGTACAGATATTTTTGTAAAAAAAGATTTTCTAGATTTGGAATGGTTAATACAATAAATGAGTAATTCTACCTATTAAAACATGTTACCCTTTTACCTACGTAACAAGCCTGCACATCCTGCACATGCACCCTGGAACTTAAAATAAAAGTTGAATAAATAAATAAATAAAATTAAAGTTATTTGAAATAAAAAAAGCTACCAAATTGCTACCCTATATGTATAAAGCATATATGTTTTATAGTATTAATTTAGATAAAATTTAATTATATATTTTTTACTATATAAAATTATCACATTAATGAGGGATAAAAATTAAAACAATGCTTACCTTGTAGAAGTAACCCATATGTGAACACTAAAGTTAATCTATGAAAATAAAAATTTACTTCATCTAAAAATGCCAGAGAAAAAAGTTTGAGGCATAAAACTTGTAATCTGTTGTGCAATATACAGGGTTGATTGCAAGCACTTTCCAAAATAAATTATGGTGTTTTCTAGAAAAAAAAAAACTAGTAAGAATGAAATTGTAATGATAGTTAATAAAAGGTACTGTAAGTTATTAATTTTCATCAGTCATTGCAACAATGGATGCATTCAACACTCTTCCCTGAGATAGAAGTTCTCATGTTTTTATGGGGAGAGCAAGTCTGCCAGGTTCCACAATCCTCCTCATGAATATTTTCTACTTAGACAGAACATGTCAAAGGAATCAACCTACAGTCTGAAATATTTTGTTAAAAGGCTATGTCCAACAGACACTGTAGAGACTAACAAAACCATTATCTCTCAAGTGGAGTTACCCTGATGACAAAGAGAGTTAACCAACCAGTAACAACCACAGAAACCAATACACATTTTGATTAATTGAGAAAGAGAGTCACTGAGTTCCTATAACAATAGAGGATAACGAGGGAACCAAGTGGGACTGCTTTCTGAAGGAACCACTACCCCTTCTCCAGTTCAGTCACCTAAGGTGCTGTCAAAGTCTTGAGATAAAGATACTGAACAATGTTCTAAACCAGCGGTCCCCAACCTTTTTGCCACCAGAGACCAGTTTTGTGGAAGACAATTTTTCCATGGATGGGGAGGTGGGCGTGGAGGGCACGGTTTCAGTGTGATTCAAGCACATTACACTTATTGTGCACTTTATTTCTATATTATTACATTATAATAGATAATGAAATATTTCTACAGCTCACAATAATGTACAATCAGTGAGAGCCCTGAGCTTATTTTCCTGCAACTAGATGGTCCCTTTTGGGAGTTATGGGAGACAGTAACACATTATCAGGCATTAGATTCTCACAGGAGCGCACAACCTAGATCCCACACTTGTTCAGTTCAAAATAGGGTTTGGGATCCCATGAAAATCTAATGTCACCACTGATCTGACAGAAGGTGAAGCTCAGGAAGTAACGTGAGTAATGGGGAATGGCTGTAAATGCAGATGAAGCTTCCCTTGCTTGCCCACCACTCACCTCCTGCTGTGGGCCGAGTTCCTAACAGGCCACGGACAGGACTCCTGTTCTAAACCACCCTGTGCTTGGCTGAGGTGACTGTCTTCCTTACTCCTACTTGTAGTCTTATGTAAAATCTCCGTTTATCAAGGCTGTAAAGCAATATAAAGGATGAGTTCAGGAAACCGTATCTCATAATAGAAATATACTGTTGGTGATTAAAGAGTTTCTAGAACAACTGAAATGTAATTATGGTGATGAAACTGTTACTCCAGGGAAGAATAATTGGAAAGAGTTTTTGACTAAAAAGTTTAACCCTAATAAATTAAGTTATATTCCCTGATGAAGATGACAACAGAAAGCTAACAACCTGTATGACATCCACAAAATGGAACCCAATGCTAGCCTTTCTCTAATACTTCCTAGAGGACAGATCATTTGGTGCATTTAGTAAATATACCAGCTTGTGGATTCCTTAATTTGAAGACAAATTAAACCTCTTAGTGATGTACAAAATAGATTGAAGGGACAAGAGACTAGTCAATTAATGTCATAATATCAAACTATTTTAATTGATGTAACTTTAACATATATTTTAATAAATAGATTAATTGTATATTAAAATTCTCATGATTATTCCCTAATGTTTATTTTACACACACTTTTTAAATTGATTATCTATTTTTCAAGAGATGCTGTTATTTGAAATTGATTCTATGTTAATTAGAGAGATTGATAGCTTCACAGTATTGAGTGTTTCCATGAATGGGATATATGTCTTAAAATCTTGATTAAAGACCCTCAGTAGCATAAAAGTTTTATTTATTTAGCACTTCCAAAGTTCTTATTTTCCCCTAAGATGTTTTACATATATGTCTTGTTCCTGTGAGTGGAAACTCTTCTTCAGTTACATTTTTTAACTGATTTTTGGCTTATATATGACTGCTTTTTAAGTAGCCACTGTGCATACTTCTTTTTGTTTCTATTTTTTCAAATAATTGTATTTTGTCAGAAATATAAAATATTGTTGGCAAAAGGATTTTGCCTTCTTCTTTAAAAGTGTCATATTTCTCTATACTCTGTGTAGATTAATTGCATTGGTTCATACTTCCAGAAAATGTTTGAATAATAATGATAATAGTGGGCCTGCTTCTCAAGGTCGTGACTTAAGTAGAAAAGTTTTAAGATGATTTTTTGTCTGGCATATTTTCTGTCATGTTGTAGAGACAATCTGGATGTTTATTTTCAAGATTCACTTTTTAATCATGTGTTAATGTTTAGTTTTATCAAATGCCTTATCAGCATCCATAGAAAGTATCATTTTATTGCCTTGACATTTTGTCATGTTGACATACCTTAGTAAATTTTCTAATTTTGAACTAAACTTCTATTTCTGATATAAATCCCATTTGTTCACATTAATATTCTCTACAGTCTATTCACAGATATACTTTTTAAAATTCTTTTTTATATATGTATATCTCATTTATAAGTCTAATTTTGTGTGTGTTACTCTAATTGTAAGCTTTGGATATAAATAGAATGCTGCATTTGTAAAAAGTGATTATAGGTTCCTTTTGTCCTTCATTCACTGTGCTCTTAAAAATTTCAAATAAGGCCAGGCATGGTGGCTCATGACTGTAATCCTAGTGCTTTGGGAGGCTTAGGCAGGAGGATCACTTGAGGCCAGCAGTTTGGGACAATCTGGGAACATAGTAAGATATCTCTACACACATACAAATTTATTTTTATTAGCCAGGCTTAGTGGCACACAACTGTAATTCCAGCTACTTGGGAGGCTAAAGTGGGAGGATCACTTCAGCCTAGGATGTCAAGGTTACAGTGAGCTATGATTGTGCCACTGCTCTCCAGCTTGGGCAACAGGGAGAGAACTTGTCTCAAAAGAAAAAGTTTCAAATAGCATGAGGATCTGTTCTTTATATTTTTTATAAAATTAATCTACAGAGATGTTTTGTTCTATTGGGCTTTTTAATTAGCTATTGTATAACTTGTCCATTTGTTTTTGAGTAATGAATTTGGTTTTATTTTATTTTTTATTTTCTTAAACTCAGTGGCAATAAATGAATTTGTTTAGTTTCTTTTTCCATCTCTTTTGGACCAAATGTAAAAATTGTATTTTTCCAAGTAAATCATGTGTTTATATACCTCTTTATGTTATTTACTTGAACTTAAGCAAGATGATCTCTTGACTCAATTAACATCTATTGTATTTATTATTTTGCCTCTTAGTTAATCAACTATTAAGTGCCATCTGGATTTTTTGACTATTAGTTATTTCTTTTGTTTTTCTAAAATTATAGAAGTATTATGATCTTATTCGAGAACTTAGAACTCTTATAAGAGAACTTCGAATAATTGGAAGGGGACAACTAATTCAATAGACTTATACTGAAAAAACAACCTTGTTAATCTGAATGTGTAGGTGATTTATTAAGAATGGTGTAATTGTTTAAGTTAGAGCCCTAGATCCTTGTCCTGTGTTTCCTCTACAGAGCAAACATAGTAAGACCCATTATGAGAGTTATACCTTAGAAAAATGTATTGGATTCCTATCCTAGTATTTACAAACTCAGTGACCCAGGCCCACTCTAGTTCATGTATTTTCACCTTTAAAAAAAAGTTAAGAATGTATTATGTGCCTTTAGTGTTATTGTGAGGGTTAAATGATACATGTAATATGCCTTAAACAGTATTGACAAAAAGTCTATGCAAAACATTTTTGGTTAAAAAAAAGGAACTACAAACAAGTGATTAAAAACTGCTTTGTATTTCAGCTAACTTTATTTTATATGTTTAAATCGTATTGTGCTTGAGTTGACTTTTATAGCAAAATCTTCATTTGGACTAAAGCTTTAAATAAGCCTTTAATATCTAATCTGAAATACCAAGTATAAGACAAATAATTGCATATTATATATATATATAACCACATATATTACATTTATCACTTTATTTTTGAAATTAGGCCTATATTTTGAGACTGTCCATAAAATGCACTTTTTCTTTAACCTCTAAAGATCTTGTTTAAAAACAATAATAAATCTCTTGATTTTTCCTAGAATCTTTTCCTTTGAACAAACATTTTATCTTTGCCCCAGTCCAGTGTTCATTAACACATCAATAAGACTGTTCAGTTTATTTTCCATCTTAACATGATTAGTGGACCACTGTTTATATATTTTTCTGTTGCTTTTACTAACTATTCTTCTTGCCAATTGTCCTCTGTTTAAAGTATACACATCCTCCATCTGTTGTAACATTTTGTACCAATATCCCAGCTGTACTAACTCTATTAATTGCATAGAATTTATTGGACATCATTACTCAGAATTAATCCTATGTGCTAGGGAAACCTGAACTACTTATGAATAAAATTGTTCTAAGTTCAATTTGTTGTAGTTAGAGTTAATTTCTAAAATCAAACATTTATGCTTTCAGTTTCCTTTGGATTGCGGTATTGACATGAATCTATTAAAGTATTTTATCCAGTCATCTTGCCAGAAATTAGCCTTTTTGTGTGAGAAAAAAAGAAGCTAACCTTTTCTTCTCTTTGAAAACAGGGCATTGGTGACCATTTTGAAATGAAGTGTATGGATTCTGGCAAAAACATGACCGAGAGTATATAGATAAGGGCTTTATTTTACAATCTGCCTCTTGTTAGAGTAAATGGCATTGGAACTGTCGTTAAACATGAGTCTTAATTTTCTACTTTGTAAATTTTTAAACTGACATTTTAAAAATCTTTTGCATGCCTTAGATAATGATAATTTAAATGAATTAGCATGCATCAAAGTTCTTCCACAGTGCCTGAAACTGTTTTTTTTTTTTTTTTTTTTTTTTGATAGAATAGAGATATTAGGCTAGCTGGCATTAGGTCTCTTTCTCTTGTATTCCTGTCTGATTCTCATGTAAACTTGACATGTAATAACATGGCTATATTTATACCTTTTTCCTGTCTATGCACTATTCTCGTTTCCCAAATAACTTTGTTTTCCAGAGCTCCTCTATACAGTCATTTCCACACTTAACAATCACAATCCCTCGGAGCATAATGAATCTTGAGGGTAAATCTTTGGACCTAAAAAGACAGAATATAGAATATTTCTTTTTTTTTTTTTTTTTTTTTTTTTTTTTTGAGACGGAGTCTCGCTCTGTCACCCAGGCTGGAGTGCAGTGGCGCGATCTCGGCTCACTGCAAGCTCCGCCTCCCGGGTTCACGCCATTCTCCTGCCTCAGCCTCCCGAGTAGCTGGGACTACAGGCGCCCGCCACTACGCCCGGCTAACGTTTTGTATTTTTAGTAGAGACGGGGTTTCACCTTGGTCTCGATCTCCTGACCTCGTGATCCGCTCGCCTCGGCCTCCCAAAGTGCTGGGATTACAGGCGTGAGCCACCGCGCCCGGCCTAGAATATTTCTTATCCAGTTATATATAGTTAAGCTATCTCTTAACCTACTAGGAAATTATTAATCTCTTAGAACACAGAACTTTGGTGTGGATTTGAATCTTGGGTCTACTTCTACTTATTATTTGAGCACCCTTGAAGCTGCAGATTGGGGGCTGGTGCTGAGTATCAATACATGACTGTAACAGTTTGGGGGTTTAAATACAAGTACAGGAATTTGCCTCATCTAACGTAAGCAAAAACTCAACAGATCTTAATTTATTGAAAGCATGCTCTGATGCTTACATAATTAACAACAACAAAAAATGGAGAAGAGCGTTTTAAAAACGCTCAGGAAAAGAAGGCCAGAAAACAAAAATCAGAGCAAGCACACTTAAATTCTACTGATTCCACACAAACTACTATAATAAATATGGCAGCTCACCATTCCCTTTTTTGCATGTCACTCATTAAAGATTCAAATTCACAGGAAAGAAAGTTTGATAGACTGACTCTAAATCATGTAAGTGGCCACATGTGCCAGGAGAGAGTGAAGATCTGACTTCTCTACCTTTCTTACTGAATGTGACCACTGCCTCTAACCATGACTACACGCAATCAGGTATTGCCTAGAAGGGAGACAAATATGCTAATAAAAGGAGCCAACAAGGACAGATGTCCACCACACTGAACTAAACCTTAATCTCTCAGAATGCAATTCAAGCATGCTTATTCTAGACAAAGTTACTTAAGCATTTTCTTAAAATTATGATCAGGGAGTTAACAAACCCAATAGAGTCAATGGTCTAAAACACAGCGAGGCAGGATTATATTTCACTACTACCATGGACAGGAAGATATGCAAACCAGCTAGGTAACTGCAGAAGATGGTGTTCAGTCCCTTGTATATCATGATGGACATTCTTATTAACGTTCAGCTGCAGGCAGCGTAAGTGATTTGAATCACTTGTTGGGTGAAATTTTGTCTGTTCATAGCTTCCTATCAGGAAACAAAATGCCATCTGATAGTTATCCATTTAAGAGCTATGACAGACACTGTTATCTGTTTACCCAAAAGCAATTCACAGCTCACTTTGCTGTGAGATTTTGCCTCTTCTTATAGAAACTGAAAGTGTTAAAATGCTTATATTTTCTGCCTTCCCCTTTTCATCTAAGGGATGGACAAATGACTCAACTATTGCCAACGAAATTTCACAGACAGCGACTTAGGTGGCTTGCTGGGAAGCTTTTCTAATTAAAAAAAAAAAAATGTGGTCCAAGGGAAAATATATTTCCTCAAATTCTGTTTTGATATTGTAATCTGAAGCTGTGCTGCTTAGATTTGCTCTGACCATTCAAATTCATTAAGAGGGAAGAAAACTTAATATTAGAGAGGATAACTCAGACTTGTGGCAGCCTTGAAACCACCTCTCTCTGGAATGCTTATTAGGTGAGAAAAAGCTATTCCAATCTGAAGCCATTTTAGATATGTCCTCTGTTGCTTGCAACTAAAAACATGATAACTGATAAATAATCTGGAAAAGGGAAGTGGGTTGGCACAATTAAGATATCCTAAAATAAGGAATTTGTGAGTAGCTGATATAAATTTGAGAGATTAAGTATCCTAGGCTGCAGAATTAGTAGACTTTATAAGGCAGTAAACATTTGAGTAAACAGTCTTCTGATATACTTTGAAGTATTGAATAGCTCTTGAATCTGTAGTATTATGAAAAATAGTAGGAAAACTAAAAATATTGGTATTTATTATCTATTTATTGGAACTTATGCTAGGTCATACAAAAGAGATACACTTAGCTGGCTGGGCACGGTGGCTCATGCCTGTAATCCCAGCACTTTGGGAGGCTGAAGAGGGAGGATAACCTGAGGTCGGGAGTTTGAGACCAGCCTGACCAATATGGAGAAATCCCGTCTCTACTAAAAATACGGCATGGTGATGGGCGCCTGTAATCGCAGCTACTCAGGAGGCTGAGGCGGGAGAATCACTTGAGCTCGTGAGGCGGAAGTTGCCGTGAGTCGAGATCACGCCACTGCACTCCAGCCTGGGCAACGAGAGAGAAACTCTGTCAAAAAAAAAAAAAAAAAAGAGAGAGAGAGAGAGATACACTTAGCCTAAAGTTAACTAGTCTAAAAGAAAGCCAAGAAAGAAAACAGTAGAGATACTTTCTATCTCTTACCTTAACTTCCACTGTGCTAGTGAGTCTGAACTTATTTAGTATATTGGGATATGGGCCAATCTCAATATGGCAATTGTGTCCCACTTACTTTCTGGCTTACAACTGGTCCCACTGGTGTTCAAAGCAATGTTGTCTTCCAACCTCTTGTCATGCTAGAGAAACACTCATGCTAGCCTTTTAGAAAAGATTCCTCAAAATATCTACGTATTTTTAAAGTGAATTGACACCTGTATTTAGGCTTAAAAATGGGTTTCCTTAGGAATTAACTAAAATTTGGACCTTAAGCTCTGTCCATTATAATCCAGAAGCTAGAAACACAAAACTCAAAGTATGTTTTTAATGAAATTGTAACAAGTGGATCTTTTAGCTTCTTGTACTCCCAAACTCCAGCCTCTCTTTTTCTCACTCCAACTGATATAGCAATAAATGTAGGCATTACTGTGGCAGAAACCAGAAGGCCACTCTGGAAAACATTTTCCTATATTCACTTACCATTAGTTAGGGCTATATAATTGGGTTCTGGCTAATGGAATGTAAGCAAAACTGATGTATATGCTCTAGGCCTACTCATTAAAGGTTACATATTCTCTAGTCTTTTGATCTGTCACTCACATAACCAAAATCTCAGGATGCTGAGGTTGCAGAGACACCACCTCATGGAAGGACTTCAGGGTCTTTGAGTCACTGATTACCAAAAAAGCCACCCCAAAAGCCTCCCAACCCAGTTTGAACTGTGGTGAAATTTTAAAAATGGACTTTTATTGTATTGAGCCACTAAAATGTGGGGTTATCTGTTACAACAGCTAACAAACATTATTTTGGTTGACATCATACTTTACAGAGGTTTTGATTTAGGGCATAATCGTTTTTTATCTGTAAATAAAATTGATCATTATCTATCCCATTTCTGATACCACTTCATTTCCAAAATGTCTGTAAGTTTCCAAATACATGTGCTCTTATTTCCACTTCTTGCTCTATTTTCTAGTTTTGCTAAATTTGATCAAATTTGTATTTTGCCTTTAGAAGATACATTATCTTCTTTTCATACCATGTCAACTCAGTTATGAAAAACAGTTTTTCTTTAATTATTTGAGAATATTGTTCACACAACCTTTACAGAATGTGTGAGATGATGAGGGAACTACATGGCCTTTTGAGTAAACAAATATATTATAAGCATTAGGCATACTTTTCTGAAGTCTTTTGGCCCCTCTCATCTACAGGAGTTTTTCACTCACTAACATACACCTTGCCTGTTTCCACCTATTTCCGGAGTTCCCCTTCTTTCAATCCATTCTCTGTTGTCCTCAAGAAATTCCTTTTAACTTCTGCAGAAGTGTTCTCTTTGCCTAGCTTTACTTCACTCAAGATGACTGATCATCTTCATCATGAAACACATTTGTTTTGATGTGTTTATAAAAAAGGGTTACTTGCTTGACAAAAATTCTATAAATACTACTAAAATAATATCTCTTTCTTCCCGTCACATCTTCAAAGCCTTCCCTCCATCCAAAGAGATGTACACTTTTTTCCATATATAGGTAAGAAACCTATGGGTTGTATAACTCCAAGAGGACCAGGCCTTGGAATTTCTAATAACTATGTCACCCTTCTCTGAGGCACTCACATAGGAAATACCATTGTTTCCAACACACCTCATATATTCTCTTGACACTGTAATACCACTTAATTCTTGAACCTATGCTTATTAACATCAAACTCTGTCATTGAAATTTTTTTTGAAGTGGGCAAATCTGATCCTGACTAACAATGAAAACATATTTTGATCAAGTTCAAGGTAGGGAGCATCCCAGATTACTCTTGAATTATACAAAGTTTGTGAGCTCTATCTATTAGAAACAAAAAGAGAGACAGAGAGAGAGGGAGAGAGAGAGACAGAGAGAGAGAGAAAATATATTAGAGAAGAGACAATAGAATAAAATTAGAATGATGATTTTTGCCACTAAGTTTTACAAAACAAAAAGAAAGTTGAATCAAAATAAACCCATCAGAACTTTTCTCCTGCATGTGTTAGAATACAGTGTGTAGGGGCATGTGTAAAATGTCCTGACAGAGCCATATTACAGTTCTCTATTGGATTCTTATGTAGGCTGGCATAAAGTTACTGTTAATTGCTTGAGGGCTATATAAGCCTTTTTATTGAGTTTATTGAAAAGAGTGTTTGAGAAATGCCTATCCAACTCTGGTGAGCTGAGTAGGTTAAATAAAGCTTAAACAAAGCTTTTTTCATCTTAAGCATCCAAGTTACTCGGCAGTTTTGGGATCACAGTGAGACCCCGGAGAGAAGAGTCAACAAAACCAGGCCATAAAATCAGGAAGGCATTGAATGTTTGGATTCAGGATTAGACACAGAGAAAATGGAAAGAATGACTTTAAAATGCACATTCTCTGCAACAATGTAAAACCAATTTACAAACATTTTGTTGAGATTGCAGAAGGGAGACATTATGAAATATTTTTAGCAAGCAAAAGATTCTTTGAACTATACTTAGTAATGTTATTTATATTTTTGTTTAGTCTAACGGCTTTATTATTTTTAAGAAACCTAATATATTTGCAAGGTTTTTACATGCTCACTTGTTATTTCTCTCTCCCTATACCTGTTTCTGAAACAAATGCAGGTTTGGTGGGCCTAAATCTTACAAAATACTGAATTCTTCTTTATTCATGTGGCCAACTGAAAACATGACTAGGACCCTTCCCAAAATCTTGCTAAATATTATTAAGTTTCTGAAAATTTTGCCTTTCTCCATTCCTTATTAACTTTCATTTTATTGACCAAGAATTCTGTTACCAGAAAGTTTATAACAAATTAAAGGTAATTTTGAGGCAAGCATATGACATTGTTCTATTTTCAGAAACTTATCATAAATATTTTGTGCTCTATCATTTCAGAATTCACCTTATATTTGGGTGCATGTTTAATGTATATAGATCCTATTTTATATTTACCCTAGATATAACTTAATACATATCAATTCCTGGAATTATTGATCCAAAATATTTCTTGCAAGTTTTCCCTTTTTCTCCAGCTCTGATGTCCTGTTTTCTTCTTATTTTGGAGTACAATATTGTATAAATATTATATAACTTGCTTTCTCTTTTCAATATTATATTTTCCGATCTCTATGGCCAAGTTGTTACTTTGTCAATATCAACAGATAGTAAATATTTGTTTAAAAAGCAAATTCAGGGCCGGGCACAGTGGCTCACGCCTGCAATCCCAGCACTTTGGGAGGCTGAGGCGGGCGGATCACAAGGTCAGGAAATCGAGACCACCCTGGCTAACACAGTGAAACCCAGTCTCTACTAAAAATACAAAAAATTAGCCGGGCGTGGTGGTAGGCGCCTGTATTCCTAGCTACTTGGGAGGCTGAGGCAGGAGAATGGTGTGAACTCGGGAGGCAGAGCTTGCAGTGAGCTGAGATCGCACGACTGCACTCCAGCCTGGGTGACAGAGTGAGACTCTGTCTCAAAAAAAAATAAACAAAGCAAAATCAACAGTCACATGTACAACAATATTTTTATTATTTTAAAAGTATATGTTATTAAATTGTATGATGACTGTCATTTTCCCCATATTTCTGTTTCCTTCCTTTCTTCTCATTTCATATGTACTTGCAAGTACAGAACATTTTCTTATCAATGTATAAAACGAGTCTAGAATGCTGATTTATTTTAACAGGCGAAGTCAAAAACAACAGAAAATGCAAGCAAGAGTATATTTGCATAAAATGGGTTTATTCTTTTAAAGTCACTTAATTTTAATCATTTTACAAATCAAATTTTTTATTTAGTTTTTCTGGGTACATGGTAGGTGTATGTATTTATGGGGTACATGAGATACTTTGATAGAGGCATACAATGCATAATAATCATATCAGAGTAAATGGGGTATGCTTCACCTTAAGGATTTATCCTTTTTTGGGTTACACATCATCCAATTACACTATTTTAGTTATGTAAAAATGTACAATAAATTATTATTTACTCTAGTCACCCTGTTGTGCTATCAAATACTACATCGTGTTCATTCTGTCTAACTATATTTTTGTACCCATTAACCATCCCCACTCCCCCAACCCCACTGCACTTCCAGAGTCTGGTAACCATCATTCTGCTCCCTATCTCTAGGAGTCCAGTTGTTTTAATTTTTAGCTCCCACAAATAACTGAGAACATGTGAAGTTTGTTATTCTGTGCCTGGCTTATTTCACTTAACATAATGACATCCAGTTCTATTTATGTTGTTGCAAATGACAGATCTCACTCATTTTTATGGCTGAATAGCACTTTATTGTGTATGTGTTCCCCGTTTTCTTTATCCATTTATCTGTTAATGGACGCTTAGGTTGCTTCCAAATCTTGGCTATTGTGAATAATGCTGCTTTAGACATGGGAGATAGCTCTTTGATATACTGATTTCCTTTTTGGGGGTATATACCTAGCAGTAGGATTCCTAGATCATATGGTAGAACTATTTGCTGTCTTTTGAGACACTCCAAACTGTTATTCATAGTGATTGTACTAATTTACATTCCCATCAACAGTGTACAAGTTACTCCACATCCTTGTCAGCATTCATTATTGCCTTTCTTTTAGACAAAAGCCATTTTAGGGTGAGATGATATCTCACTGTAGTTTTGATTTGCATTTCTCTGATGATTGATGATGTTGAGCACCTTTTCATATACCTGTTTGCCATTTGTATGTCTCCTTTTGAGAAATGTCTATACAGATCACTTGCCCATTTTTAATCATATTATTAGAATTTTTCCTATAGAGTTGTTTGAGCTTCTTCTATATTCTCGTTATTAAGGCCTTGTCAGACCCATAGTTTGCAAATATTTTCTCTCATTTTGTGGATTGTCGCTTCACTTTGATGATTATTTCCTTTGCTGTACAGAAGCTTTTTAACTCGATGTGATCTAATTCGTCCATTTTTGCTTTGGTTGCCTGTGATTGTGTGGTATTACTCAAAAAATCACTGCCCAATCCAATGTCCTGGAGAGTGTCCACAATGTGTTCTTTTAGTAGTTTCATAGTTTAAGGTCTTAGATTTAAGTCTTCATTCCACCCTGATTTGATTTTTGTGTGTGGTTAGAGATAGGAAACTGGTTTCATTCTTCTGCATATGGATATCCAGCTTTCCCAGCACCATTTATTGAAGAGACTATTCTTTCCCCAATGTATGTTCTTGGCAACTTTGTCAAAAATGAGTTAGCTGTAGATGTATGGATTTGTTTCTGGTTTCTCTCTTCTGTTCCATTCATCTCTATATGTTTCTATGCCAGTATCATGCTCTTTTGATTACTATAGCTCTGTAGTATAATTCAAACGTAGGTAATGTGATTCCTGCAATTTTGTTCTTTTTGCTCAGGATAGCTTTGGCTATTTTGTGTCTTTTGTGGTTCCATATAAATTTTAGGATTTTTCTTTCTATTTCTGCAAAGAATGTCATTGGTATTTTGATAGGGATTGCACTGAATCTGTAGATTGCTTTGGGTAGTATGGACATATTAACAATATTTATTCTTCCAATCCATGAACGTAGAATATCTTTCTATTTTTTATGTGCTCTTCAATTTCTTTCATCATTGCTTTATAGTGTCCATTGCAGAAATCTTTTACTTCTTTGGTTAAGTTAATTCCTAGGTATTTAATTTTATTTTTAGCTATTGTAAATGGGATTACTTTCTTGATTTTTTTTTTCATATTGTTTGCTGTTGGCACATGGAGATGTTACTGATTTTTGTATGTTGATTTTTTATCCTGCAACTTTACTAAATTTGTTGATCAGTTCTAATAGGTTTTGGTAGAGTCTTCAGGTTCTTGTAAATATGAGATCATATATATCATCTACAAAGAAGGATACTTTGACTTTTTCCTTCCCAATTTGGATGACTTCTTTCTCTTGTTTGATTGCTGTAGCTAGGACTTCCAGTACTATGTTGAATAACAGTGGTGAAAGTGGGTATCCTTGTCTTGTTCCAGATCTTAAAGGAGGGGGTTTCCATTTCTCTCCATTCAGTATGATACTAGCTGTGGGTCTGTCATATATGATTTTTATTGTATTGAGGTATGTTCCTTCTAAATATAATATATCACCTGTGAAATGGACTATTATATTTCCTCCTTTCAATTTGGATGCCTCTTATTTCTTTCTCTTGCCTGATTGCTGGCTAGAATTTCCAGTAATGTGCTCAATAGGAGTGGTGAAAGTGAGCATCCTTGTCTTGCTCCAGTTCTTGGGGGTGGAGGGATATTTTAAACATTTCTCTATTCAGTATGATATTGCCTATGGGTTTGTCATATATGGCCTTTATTAAATTGAGGTATGTTTCTTCTAAGTTTAGTTTGTTGAGAATGTTTATCGCGAAGAGATGCTGAATTTTATTGAGTACTTTTTCTGCATCTATTGCAATGATCAGATAATTTTTATCCTTCATTCTGTTAATGTGAAGTATCAAATTTATTGATTTGCATCTGCTAAACCAATCTTGCATCCCTGGTATAAATCCTACCTGATCATTGCATAGTATCTTTTTGATGTGCTGTTGGATTAAATTTGCTAGTATTTTGTGGAGGATTTTCACATCAATGTTCATCAGGGATATTGGCCTGTAGTTTTATTTTTTGATGTGCCTTTGTCCGATTTGTGTATCACTGTAATACTGACACTGTAGAATGAGTTTG
The DNA here is from genome assembly GCF_000001405.40 of Homo sapiens. Taxonomy (NCBI): domain Eukaryota; kingdom Metazoa; phylum Chordata; class Mammalia; order Primates; family Hominidae; genus Homo; species Homo sapiens. The sequence goes on from NC_000013.11 coordinate 71,283,166, forward strand.
GAACTATTCTCTCCTCCTCTATTTTTCAGAATAGTTTGAACAACATTGGCATTAGTTCTTTAAATGTTTGGTAAAATTCATCAATGAAGCCATCAGATACTGGGCTTTTCTTTAGTGGGACACTTTATTATGGCTTCAATCTGGTTACTTGTTATTCATCTAGTCCAGATTTAGATTTCTTCATGGTTCAATCTTGGTGGTTGCATATGTCTAGGTATTTAACCATTTCGTCTAGGTTTTTCCAATTTATTGGCATATACTTGTTCATAGTAGCCTCTAATGAACCTTTGAATTTCTGTGGTAACAATTGTAGTTTCTCCTTTTCAGCTGTGATTTTATTTATTTGTGTCTTCTCTCTCTCTTTTTGGTTAGTCTGGCTAAGAGTTTGTTGATTTTGTTTATTTCTGCTCTGGTCTTTGTCATTACTTTTCTTCTATTAATTTTGGGTTTGGTTTGCTCTTGCTTTTCTAGTTCTTTAAGATGCATCATTGCATTGTTTCTTTGAAATTTTCCTACTCTTTTGATGTAGGTACTTATAGCTATAAACTTTTATCTTAGTATAGCTTTCACTGTATCCCATAGGTTTGGTATCTTTTATTCCCATTATCATTTGTTTCAAGAAATTTTTACATTTTCTTTTTAATTTCTTCACTCGCCCACTGGTCCCTCAGAGACATATTGTTTAATTTCCATGTATTTTGATTGTTTCTAAAGTTCTTCTTGTTATTGATTTCTAGTTTTATTCCACTGTGGTCAGAGAAAATACTTGAGATATTTGCAAGTTTTTGAATTTTTTAAGATTTGTTTTGTGGCCTAACAAATAGTCTTCCTTGAGAATGATTCATATGCTGAGGAGAAGAATGTGTATTCTGCAGCTATTTGATGAAATGTTCTGTAAATATCTATAAGGTTCATTTGGTTTATGGTGCAGGTTAAGTCTGGTGTTTCTTTTTTGATTTTCTTCCTGAATAATCTGTCTAATGCTGAAACCTGAAGTCTCCAACTATTATTGCATTGGGGTCTATCTCTCTCTTTAGCTCTAATAATATTGGCTTTATATATCTTTGTGCTCCAGTGTCGGGTGCATGTATCTTTACAATTATTATACCCTTTATGCTGAATTGACCCCTTTATCATTATATAATGACCTTCTTTGTTTCTTTTCATACTTTTTGTCTTGAAATCGATTTTGTCTGATGTAAGTATAGCTACTACTGCTCTTTTTTGGTTTCTGTTGGTATGAAACATCTTTGTCCATCCCTTTATTTTCAAGCTATCTGTGTCTTTATAGGTGAAGTGTGTTTCTTGTAGGCAACAGATTTTGGGGTCCTTTTTTCATAAATAAGCTAAATAGCAAAGAGAAAAATAAATTAAAAACTCTACACTTTAACGTCATCCTCCCACTTGTTAACTTTTTATTGTTTCTATTTATATCTTATTTTACTGTCTGAGTCTTTAAAAGTTGTCATATGTATTATCTTTTATCAGTTTATTTTCATTCGTACTACTTAAGATATGAGTCATTTACACATCACACTTACAGTGTTACAGTCATATGTTTTTCTTTATATTTACTATTACCAGTGAGTTTTGTATATTCAGATAATTTTTATTGCTCATTAATGTCCTTTTCTTTCAGATTGAATAACTCTCTTTAGCATTTCTTATAGGACAGGTTTGATGTTGTTGAAATCCCTCAGCTTTTGTTTCTTTTTCTGGGAAAGTCTTTATTTCTCCTCCATGTTTGAAGAAAATTTTTTACTGAATATACTACTCTAAGGTAAAAGTTTTTGTATTTCTTCATCACTTTAGACATATCATGCCACTATTTCAGAGCCTGTAAGATTTCCATTGAAAACTCTGCTGCCAGACATATTGGACTGCATTTTATGTTACTTCTTTCTTTTCTCTTGCTGCTTTTAGCAAGGTCTTTATCCTTGACCTTTGGAAGTTTGATTATTAAATGTCTTGATGTAGTCTTAATTGGGTTAAATCTGTTTGGTGTTCCATAAGTTTATTGTACTTAAATATTGATATCTTTGTATGGTTCAGGATGTTCTCTATTAATATCATTTTGAATAAACTTCTACCCTGATCTCTCTCTATTTTCTCTTTAAGGATAATAACTCTTAGATTTTCCCTGTTGAGAATATTTTCTAGATCTTTTAGGTTTGCTTCATTTTTTTATTCTTTTTTCTTTTGTCTCCTCTGACCATGTAATTTAAAATACACAGTCTTCAAGCTCAATATTCATTCTTCTGATTGATCACTTCTGCTGTGAAGAGATTCTAATGCATTCTTCGGTAGGCCAATTGCATTTCCCATCTACAGAATTTTTCCTTGACTCTTTTTAATTATTTGAATATATTTGTTAAATTTATTTGATAGGATTCTGGATTCTTTTCTTGTGTTATCTTGAATTTCATTGAGTTTCATAAAAAGAGGTGTTTTTGAATTTTCTGTTTGAAAGTTCACATTTTGCTGTCTCTCCAGGGTTGGTCACTGGTTTCTTATCTAGTTCATTTGGTGAGATCATATTTTCATGGATGTTTTTCATGCTTTTGGATGTTCATTTGTGTCTGTGTATTGAAGAGTTAGGTATTTATTGTAGTCTTCACAGTCTGGGCTTGTTTGTACCCATCCTTCTTGGGAAGGCTTTTTACATATTCGAAAGGACTTGGGTGTTGTGGTCTAAGTTTTTGGTAACTGCAACCATATCTGCATTAGGGGGCACCCCAAGCCCAGTAATGCTCTGGCTTTTGCAGAATTGTAGAGGTATCACTTTGGTGTTCTTTGATAAGATCTAGAACAATTTTCTGGATTACCTGGAAGAGACTTGTTCTCTTCTTTTACTTTCTTGCAAACCAATGGATTCTCTCTCTCTTTTTTTTTTTTTTTCTTTTTCTGAGCTGCCTGGAACTAGGAAAGGAATGACCCAAGCAACCCTCTGGCCACCACCACTGGAACTGCACTGGGTAAGACCTGAAGCCAGCAAAGTACTGAGTCTTATCCAAGGTCCCAATAGCAACTGCCTGGCTACTGCCCACGTTTGCTCAAAGCTCTAGAACTCTACAATCAGGAAGTGGCAAAGCTAGCCAGGATTGTATCCTTCCCTTCAGGGCAGTGAGCTTCCCCTGGTCCCTAGCAGGTCCAGAGTTGCTATCTGGGAACCAGAACCTGGAGTAGAAAACCTCAGGAATCTACCTGGTGTTCTATTTTTCCATAGCTGAGCTGGCACCCAAGTCACAAGACAAACTCCTTCCCACTCTTTCCTCCCCTTTCCACAAGCAGGGGAATCTCTTCTTATGGCGACCACTTCCCTAGGCTTGTGGCAGTACTGTCTGACTACGGTTGATGTTCATTTAAGGCCCAAGGGCTCTTGAATATCTTGTGGCAGATGCTCCCTTGAGGGCAGTGGGCTCCCCTATGGTCCAGAAATGCCATCCAAGAGTCAATGCCTGGAACTGGGGACTCCACAAGCTTACTTGGTACTCTACCCCACTGTGGCTGAGCTGGTTCCTAAGCTGCAAGACAAAATTCTCCTTACTCTTCCCTGTCCTATTCTCAAATAGAAGGAATCCCTTCCCATAGCCACATAGCTAGTAATGTGCTCGGTTACACCTGAAGCCAGCATGTCCCTGAGTCTCACCCAAGGCCCATGGTGAGTACTGCGTGGGTACCACTGCTGATTATTCAGGGCCAAAACCCTCTTTAGTCAGCAGGTATGA